>NC_000010.11:51052186-51203701 GCF_000001405.40 Homo sapiens | reverse complement strand
ACTGAGGCCTAGAGAGCTTAAGATATTTGTCCAAATGTGTGCAACTCTCTGTTGGTGGAGCCAGGATTCAAGCGCAGGTCTTTTCACCCAAAGCCTTTCCACAGTGCTGTTTGAGGGTATTACAGGGGAGGCTTTTGTTTAGCATTGCAGCACATCCAGCTGTGCCCTCAATTGCCTAGAAAATTCCATTTGGGAATTCCATTTCCTCTTGGTTTTTAGTCAGAAAATAGTCTGAATGGGTCTCAAACTGTCATAAGTCATCATGGTCCTCATAACACAGCATCAAACCATGTAGAGCAAGAATTTACTCAAGGAGAGACGAAAATATAACAGAAGGAATGCCATGATGGGTATAGTCAACAAAACACATTAATGTGTTTCCTTTTATTCATAATTTTCAGAATGAATGAAAATAACAATATCATTCCTGCCATTAAATTGTCACCAATGTTTGAAAAGGGACAAAACTCAGTGTGTGCATTTTATAACAGAATGTTTAATACGTATATCCTTCAGTGCAACAATTCCACTTTGGGGAAGGCATTAATAAGTGACCATTTAAGTAGGCCCAAGATCCTTGAGACACTGTTCTCTCTCTCTCTCTCTCCCTCTGTATTCAATAACTTGCCAAGTCTTATGAGTTCTACTCCTAAAATGTCCCTCACATTTATATCTCACCCCGTTGACATCATTGTTTCTCGTTTGTCTATTAGCTTTCTTACTGGTCTCTCCAACTCTCATTTTCTGCCACTAATATTTATTCTATATAGTCAGCCAGATATATCTTCAGAAGCCCAGTTCCAACAGAATCAATGTGATGCTCAAAAAATACTCAATGGCTTTCCATTGCTTTCAAATTAAAAATAAACACCTTATCCTAGCTTTCAAGGCATGCCACATTATGGCTCCATCATAACCTTCCACTTCTTTCCCAGACAAAGTGGCCTACTTGCAATTCTCAAACGAATCTCAAATCATCTTACTTCAAGGATTTCTCATCTTATCCATAATCTATGTGAAGAATTTCTTTGTTTAAACCCCATAAACTACCCTTGTATTTCTTTTAACTCACTCTATATTCTAGTTGAAATTATTTACAAACATATTCCACTGTTAGACTACGCATTCCTTTAGAAGAGTCTATGTCTTTTTTTGTGTGTGTGTATATCTGTCTAAAATGGGGTTTTCTTGAGGCAAAGCCTGAGATAGGAATTCTTGCAGGAGATTTACTGAAGCAGTGTTCTCAGGAGAAATCTTCTGGGGAGTGAGAAAAGCAGGATAGAACGGTGGAGGATAGCAGGATAGAATGGTGGAGGATGGCAGGCAAAGATTGAGGCCCAAGAGGAGTCTATATTCAGCCTGATCCCATTAGAGCTCTACAGCATAGACTGCACCTAGACATTTTCTCTCAAGTGTGAGAAAGCTGGGCTGTTACACATTACATCAGTCAGTCATTGCCCATGGATCATCTGTGTAGAGGAGTATAACTTCCCATGCATCTCTGGGCTGGGCACCTCCCACTGGCCATAGATAACGCTTTGAGGAAGAGTGTAGGTGTGAACCTTTAACAATCAACACCCACAACAGCTGGGAGGCAGGTGTACCCACCTAGTAGAGAAGGTCCAGGGAGGGCACCAATAGCATCTGCTACAGAATCCCTCATAACACCTCTAATAGCTCACAGAAAACAGTAGATGTTCAGTCAGTAGCTGTTAAAAAAGACCTGCCTACATAAGGAAATAACTTTGAAGTACATTAGTATATTCTTACAAATAGAAACTTGTTCACTTGCTGTCTGTCAGTTTGGGGTATTATAACAAAGTACTGTAGACTGGATAGCTTATACACAACAGACATTTATTTCTCACAGTTGTGGAGGCTGGAAGTCTGATATCAGGGTGCCAGCAAGGTTGGGTTCTGGTGAGGACTCTTGCAGGTTGCAGACCCACAGCTTCTGTTGTATCCTCACATGGCAGAAATAGAGCAAGCTGGCTCCCCTGCCTCTTCTTATAAGGTCACTAAATCCATTCACAAGGGCTCCACTCCCATGACCCAATTAGCTCTCAAAGACCCCACCTCTATGCACTATCATATTGGAGATTAGATTTCAGCATGTAAATTTTGGAGAGACACAGGCATTTATTCCATAGCATTTACTAATGACAGGTTAATAAATGAACAAACACAAATAAAAATACATGGCTTTGATATATTACATTTTCCTGCTTTAATTTTTATTTTATTTTTTTGAGTCAAAGTCTCACTCTTGTCCCCTAGGCTGGAGTGTGACGGCACAATCTCGGCTCACTGCAACCTCCGCCACCCAGGTTCAAGTGATTCTCCTGCCTCGGCCCCCTGAGTAGCTGGGATTACAGGCAACTGCCACCACGCCCGGCTAACTTATGTATTTGTAGTTGAGATGGAGTTTGGCCAGGCTGGTCTAGAACTCCTGATCTCAGGTGATCCACCCACCTCGGCCTCCCAAAGTGCTGGGATTACAGGCATGAGCCACCATGCCTGTCCTAAAATATTTTTTATACTTATTAGCAAGTCTGAGCCAATACACTTAGTTTTAAATTAATTCATACCCATGGAAAAATTGAACAGTTTGTCACTCTTAGAGATTTAAGATAAAGATTAGTGAAAATAGTGAGGGATATTTCTGATGAAAAGTGATCCTTTTCATTCTTAAGGACAGAATGTTCATTAGTGGCCCCATCAAACTACTGATTATGGCAATAAATATTTACAGAAAGAGCCAAATCTTTCCCTAAAACCCTCAAGAGAATCTCTGAGCTGTAGTCAATCATCTTCCAAGTTGAGGCCTTCTGTGGATCGATGATTAATAAAAGAACAAATGATATTTCAGTAGGCAGCATATTAAACCCATCAGTGGCATTGTGTTTCTGCTTTCAGTTGTATCATGTTTAAATCAATGTTTGAGATAAAATCAGTATGGTTTCATTTTAAAAGCTCTAATAAAAATGGTTAAAATAAAATGCACATGCTATGAAAACTCCAAGCATGTAATTTATACTTGCAATAATTCAGCAAGCAGATTTTGGGTGCCAACAATGTATGAATCCTTTCATTCAGAGATAATGGGGGTATATAGATCAATAAGACTTGTTTCCTGCCTTCAACATGGTTACAATCTGGTAAGGGAGACAATAAATGTACTGATAACTGAAAGGAAGAATATTACAATGCATCAAGCCCCTATTCAAAATCATTTTCTATGTCTCTATCATTTTAGCTGTGAAGTACAAATTCCTTAGCATTCAAACCCTTCATAATCTGCCTCCTGTCTACTTTTGTATTTATTGATTTACCTATTTTCTTAGCAAACTGTTATTGAACATCATGTTTGTGCTAGGCACAGAGATCTTGGTAGAAAAGATACACACTAGTTTTGCTGCTGTCATCTTTATGTCTCCCATCCTTTCCTTTCACACATATTAGGCTTCAACCACACATCCTTAACTATTCCCAGAACTAGCTATTGAATTTACAACCTCTGTGATTCTGGCAAGTGTGTTTCCTCCCACTCTGTATGCTTTTTCCCGTATTTTTCACCTCATAAATTTTCTGATCCTTCAAGTGTTAGCCCACATGCCACCACTTTGAGCTGTGTGTCCTGATACTTACTATTCAGAAGAGGCGATCCTTCTTTCTTTTGTATGTCCCTAGTGTTTTGTAGGCTTTCTTTTACCCGACTTATATTGTTAAATAACACGTAGAGAATCCAAGAAGAAACAGCTCTCTTGCATTAGGGTCACTTGAGGAGTGTTCATTTAGGAAAGGACTATCATCAGAATTTGGGGTAGAATATAAGGGAGACACAGGATTTAGCACTGTAACCCAGGATGTGTAACAGCAGAGCTGTCACCAGCCCTAGCCCAAAGCGTCAAAGGGAGAGAATTATTACCAATACCTGAAAGAAGAGAGCTGGCAAAGGAGGCTGCCTTGAGATGAGCAGTGAAATTCAGTGAAGAAACAAAGCCAGGCCCAGAAAAGTCACAGGGAGATGAAATACCCCGACCTCACTTTCAACTTCCTCTTATCTATTGCTGGGTTGGCCCTGTAATAGCCTGAATCCCACTTTCTGATGGCCAGGAAGCCCTTTGGTAGTCCATACAGGCCATTGTGCTGGTAACACAGCCGATAATGGTAGAAAATAGATCTGCAGAGGCAGAGAGAAGAAATCGGCCACACTCATACATGTCTCCTTTTCCAGACTCTGAATTTTCTAGAGTCTGGATCTGAATTCACATATAAACCTGGAACCTAGGACAATATCTAGAACATAGTACATGTTTATTAAGTGTATTCTTAATGGGTGTTATATCATAAGAGCAGTTAAAGGGATACTAGCATTCAGAAGAACACATGGTTATATTTGACTGAGAGTCATGCATACAGATGCACAGGTACCACTACTTGCTAAGTTATACATAGTGAAGATTCTAATTATTGAATTTATTAATTCAGCAAAACTAGACTGATACCTCCCCTCCCAACTTTTTCAGACTGATAACATGTGTAGACATTTGGCTAATTGGTTCTATGGCAAATAGTTTCATGTACAATTCATTTGTTTGCAATTTTACCCCAGAAAAAGGAATGAGAAGAAAACAATGCTTTAACAATCAGATGTTCGTCACCCTTTTTGCACTTCTGATTTTTCAGTATCACTTCTTATCAAAGATGAAGCTATACCTTACCTCCTTCTCCAAGGCATAAGATTTCAGTTGCATTTCCAAAAGTGCTTAAAAAAATGATTCTTGATATTTTTGTGGTAATTTGCAAGAGGAAGATCATGGATTGATTAAATCTACGGATAACTAAATCTTACTTAGGGGTTTCAACATCCATTTCTATCAAACCTTTAAATGAAACTGTAACTGTTAACCTAATTGACAAACTCAGGTCTAACTAACTTTCTACCCGGATAGTCTTGTCAAATAGCTAATGTGGGAAATGGCCCAAAGACTGACGGCATAAGAAAAATGAAAGGTCCAATAACCTGTAAACAGGATAATCAGCTGCTGAAATTTTGAGCTGAGTGTATGTTATAGAGTCTTCCTCCATGAATGCTTTAATGCAATTTTCATAGATACTTTATCAATTGTACATAAAAGCACTGCTCTAGAAATACAACACTGTTTTTAAGATCTAGAATTCTTCTACTGGTGCTCAGAAAATTTTAAATTAAGTTACACTAATTTATGGGGAAATCTCTCACAGGTTTTTACATCCGACTGTGAATTTCATTGGATATTTATTCGAATGGAAGACTGCCAGAAGTTTTATAGGCTTTACACAATGCAGTCCAAATATCTTCCCTTAGACCACTAGTGCTATAATATGACAGATATGTGCAGCTCCTCCTAGCCATACACTCTAGATGCTACCTCTGCTGCTGGAGTTCTATTATCATGCGGAAAAAAGGAAGGGGAGAAGATATGACAAACTCCAGTTGAGTCTAAGAAAGCCAAGAAGCTCACATCCATATAAATAAGATCTAATACCACCATCACCAGTACCCCAACTATCCTGCCCAAAACTGTGACTACTGACTTGCAAACATTTTTTTATTTTTGATGACCAGGGAATCATATGTTTCATAAACAAAATAATAAAAGCAAAATAATCAAAATTTGAAATGAAGGTAAGGGTACCAAAAGCTCTTACCTTTGTCTTCTCTTTCACCACAGATTTGAGAGGATTCCTTAAAGCAGCTTGGGCTTTATGGAAACACTTTTAAAGTCGAATGTTTGTCTAAAGGATAATATGGCAAGTTTGGTGATATATTAGGGTGGTGCAAAAGTAATTCTGGTTTCTGCAATTACTTTTAATGGCAGAAACCACAATTACTTTTGCACCAGCCTAATAGCACCTCTTAAACCTGCTAAGCTGCTCCTTTGTTAACTATTTTCCTCTGAAAAAAAACACACCTTATTTAATTTGACCCTGGCTAAAAGTATTCTAGGAGGAGATAGCCTTTTAATGATTTGTCTTGAGTGTATATACTATGTATATACTAGTATATACACATATGCTACATATGTGTACCTCAGTCCTGTAGAATTTCTGGTTCACTGCATACTTTCAATAAACACAATGTTGGCCAGGCACAGTGGCTTACATCTGTAATCCCAGCACTTTGGGAGGCCGAAGTGGGCAGATCACCTGAGGTCAGGAGTTTTTGAGATCAGCCTGGCCAACTTGGTGAAACCCCGCCTCTATTAAAAATACAAAAATTAGCTGGGCTTGGTGTCAGGCACTGTAGTCCCAGCCACTTGGGAGGCTGAGGCAGGAGAATCGCTTGAACACAGGAGAAAGAGGTTGCGGTGAGCCGAGATCATGTCACTGCTCTCCAGCCTGGGAGACAGAGTGAGACTCCATCTCAAAAAACAATTTAAATAAATAAATAAAATATAAACACGATATCTCAAAACACACCAACAGATATTTTATTTCCTTTTTGAAACCTTCCTTTATTGCTTTTTTGAAATCTGTCCATCTACGTCTCAATTTTCAATTACAGCTATTCATTCCACAGGTGTTAATAATTTTTATAAATGGGTAAGTCACTTAAATAGGTACTGTACCAATTAAAGCCATACCAAAGACAGCCTTTGCCCTAGAAAAGCTTAATACCTAATTGAGGAAAAGGCATAAGTGTAAATAATCAGAACACAAGCAGAACAGAAGTGCCAAAGTCAAGACAGGTTGAGTACTTTGCAAGAGAAGGGAAATATATCTCTACACACTATTATGCTTGTTATGAAACACAAATTCATTCCACTGTTATTCATATATTATGAAACAATTTGAGGATAAAACAAATTTTATATTTGCTTCTGCACAATTTCATCTGCAGAAAGTGGCCAACTTGAACTGAGCTGTTTAAGAGTACAAAAAATATACACATGTTTATAACTCAAATATTTACCATCTGCTTCAGTGTGTTATGAGTCACACCTATCCACACCTGAAGTTTAAACTTTCTGCTGAATTTCAGGTCATTTTTCTTCTATTACTTCACAGTTCACAAGCCCAAATATTTCTCATGCTCACTTCTGTTATCAAACTTAAGGCATTTTCAAGGTAAAGTATCACAGTTATTGTAGTATTTATGTATGTTCTAAGCAATTAACATGCATAAAAGTTGGTACAATTTTTATTAGGTTCCTTTCTTTATTATCTGTCACTGACAAAGGTTTCTAGTGTTGTGTCCCTAATTTCATTCTTCCTATAAGCACTGTGATTATTTTTGTACAATTTTGCCTAACATGGTGGTAATAAGAAATGTACATGTTTTGCTATAGTAGAATTGAATGTATATGTGCATATTACTTGTAAAAGTATATAAAAATAAATCTAATTCATATAAGCCTTCAAATACATGCAATTCTTCCCTCTCCCCCACACATACATACACATATATACTAGTTTTCAACATAGTTGATAAAACTAACTCCCATCTGGGATACAGAAAGGTTTTAACCTCCTGCAAAGGCAATAATGCTAAACACCAACCTTGTCCTACTAAAGACCAATCTATAGCCTCTCCTTCCTACTATCCCTCCTGCTCCTTTCTACTTCTTGACCATAATTATAGCAAGGATCCTCCCTTCTCTTTCTTTTCCCTTCAATCATCAAGTATACACTAGAACTTAGAATTTACAAGATTGAAGTATGTTTTCAGTTGGAATCCTGCTGCAGCTCAAGTGGAAAATGTGTTCTACCCAACCCAGACTTAAACATAAAGTCATCCACAAACACTGTATCTCTCTATAAAACTGGAATCTCCAGCTCATATCACAGGGTCTGGCATGCCATAAGTACTTAATAGATATTAGTTGAAATTTAGTATAAAAGAATAACCACTTCTGATTGTTCTGTTACTATCATCATATTTATCTTCTTCAAGTAAAATAAGACTTATGACAATTTTCTAAGAGACATAAAATAAATTGTATACCCGAACAACCATAGTCTTAAGTCTTAAAGAAATGGAGAGCTAAGATATCATCTGTTTTCCTTAAGTTAGCATTGAAGTCAGTATTAAAACAATCTTATCTGAGCCCTAACTTATCGTTCAGAGAACTTTATGCCTCCTAAGTAGAACTTATTGACTAATAAAAAGAAAATAAAATAAATTTCTCATCCTTATTTTTGAAGAGTGTAAACAATGAAAGCTGAAAATAACCAACCTTGTTTCTGAAGTTGTCAGAATGTGACACTTGTTACTATAGGAATGGAGCCAGTAATTATTCATCTTTAATTTGTTTGATTATTTTAAACAGCAAAAGAATTAAAAAATTGAAAACTGACGTTTGAACTGAATTAAGGAGGTAACTCAAGTGCCAGTAACACTAACCTGCCTCAGGGATGAACGGGTCCAATTCAAAGATACTTCATTATACCACAAATATAACTAAAATAAGCATAAATTGATGAATAAGATGTCCTCATCAGTGGCTAATCAGCCTAAGAATCAAATGTGGATTTATTAGAACTGAACTTACTGTTTTTTAAATACAACACCCTTTTCTCAAATAAGTTTCCATCAATTTCTAAAGCTTCACTGAAGGCTATGTGTTTCCTGCATGGGCAAACATGTATGGCATTGGTTTTAGCACAAGTCTACGGTTTGAACGTGTCCCTCCAAAGTTCACGTGTTGGAAATTTAATCCCAATGCAACAGTGACAAGAGGTGAGACTTTTAAGAGGTTATTAGGCCATGAAGACTCTGCCCTCATGAGTGGATTAATACCATTATCTGGAGAGTGATTTCATTGTCACCAGAGTGGGGTCTTTATACAAGAACTTTTGGTTCCCGCTTTCTCTCTCCCATCCTTTCTTTGCTCTTCCACCATGAGATGATGCAACAAGAAGGCTCTTGCAAGATGCTGGGCCCTCGATCTTTGACTTCTCAGCCTCTAGAACCGTGAGTCAATAAATTTATGTTTATTATAAATTACCAAGTCTGTAGTATTCTGTTATAGCATCACAAAACAAACTAAGATACACACACCGAAAAACTACTAAAATATGACAATCTGAACACAAATAAATTTTTTCATTCAATGTAACCTAGATAGAGACAAAAAGTTCTAGGACTGTTGAAACTCATTTCTACCTAAAAAGCAGGCCATGGGTAAAATAAACGATGGCAAGTTTTACAATATTCAACAGAGGATAATTACTCCCATAAAATTTGTACACAGAAACTTCATTATGAGAACACATGGACACAGGTAGCAGAACATCACACACTGGGGCCTGTCAGGGGGTTGGGTGCTAGGGAAGGGATAGCATTAGGAGAAATACCTAATGCAGATGACAGGTTGATAGGTGCAGCAAACCACCATGGCACATGTATACCTATGTAACAAACCTGCTCATTCAGCACATGTACCCCAGAGCTTAAAGTATAATTGAAAAAAAAAAAAACTAAAAAAAAAGTTGAACCTTGATACTAAATACTAATCTTCTACTGTGTGCCAAAATACACCATATTTTGTAGAATAATAGATGTGGTTTTTTAAACATAATCTCACATATTACCAAAGGGGTGAAATATGAGAAAAAGTGATAACATAGTTAAGAGATATGAAAAACAATTTGAAATTAATGAATTTGAATTAATAGAAGGTCATAATTTAAGACTACTAAGGAGAAAACATTCTGCTTTCATTCTGAACAATTTACAAAGACAGTGTTCCTGACCTGCCCCAGCAAGAGTCTTGCAGTGAAGTTTTAGGGTGTTGCTTTCCTAAGAAATGTCATCAATTTATGTCCTCCTTCGCATCTGGTCTGTCTTGTGATTATAGGCACAAATGTGCAGATTTGCTGGCTTGAATTAGGGGCTGAGAAAAGTTGTGGGTGGATGGATCAAACAGAGTAAAGTTACTACACATTTTGAGAACATTAACCTTTTTCTCCTTGGCTTATGATCTCTGATGACCAGCAACAGGGAAGTTGGATCCAGGGATAAGAATCAATAGTTGGAGGTTTGGTTTTGAAGGCTAGTCTTTTTCTCACAAAGTAAAACAACTAATTTACTCCTAATTTATATTAATTTACAAACAAACATTTCATACAGGAGCTCCCTTCCACAACTCCTGACAGTTAGGTGTCCAAAAGATGTTGGCACTGATGGCGCAGATGATCTATAGTTTTGAAGGACAGCATGATAAAATGCAAATAATGTAGTTTCATTAATTTCTAATATAAAATCTGCGGCAGTGGTTCTTAACATTATTATATATATAATAACAATCCACCTTGTGATACAATGCTTATTAAAAAGGTCAAGATCCCCTGACCCTACTCTTGACTCTGAATCAGTGTATATAGGGTGGGACACAGAAATCTGCATATTCAACAGTACCTCCAGGTGATTTTGATGTAGATGGTTTCTGAGGCATACTGATAAAAGCTACTCTATGCTCGAGCTATATTCAAGTACCTTCATTCCCCAAACTGTCATACTCGCTTAGTCTTCATGACTTCCTTCTCTACCATTTCTGTCATTCAACTAATAATTACTGAGCACTAGTCAATGTCAACTCCCATTCATCTTTCAAACCTAATTTAAGTATGAATTTCCCTAGTAAAGATTCCATGATCTCAGCTAAATTAGATGTCCTTTTACTAACTGAGAACCCTGACTTTAGCTTTATTCTAACATTTAAATAGCTATATTAAAATGATTGGTTTACTTCTCTGTTTTCCTCCACTAAACTACAAAATTGGTAGAGACCAGATTTTTCCAACAAATGCTCAATAAATAAACAAGACTGAATGGGTGAGTGAGTGAATGAATGAATGACTTGAAAGGTAGACTTCCAGATATGAATGGCCATTCTACGTGATGTTACTAGGCTTCCTCTCTACAAATCCTCCTGCCTCCAAGTGGTCCCTTTTTCCAAGACCACAATTTTTTACTTCTCTTTATCATATTGACTGATAATCCATTAATTTAGAAGTTAATTTGGGTTAATAAACATTTCCTTTTTAAGATGAAAATCTCTTTACTGGGTAAAATACTCATGGTTTTTTTCTTTTATTGCAATAAAAATGTTTTAATCAGATTATTTTCCTCTTCAGGCTCACTTTCCTAACTCCCCAGTAACATTTCTAATCTTTCGGTAGGACATTAAATAAGTCTGAAGAATATTTTAGAATGGAATTTTAAATAAAAGTCCAGACTACATTTTTTTCTGTTGAGATTTCTTATTCTAAAATAGTCACATATATGAATCACAACTTTTTGTGTCAAGAGTTTTAGAATTTCAAAGTTTAATAGAGTCCCATCTCAACCCATTCTATTTTACAGATAAGAAAAATGAAATGCAGAGAGGCTAAGAAAGCTTCCAAAGGTCATGTGGTCTTCCCTGTTTCATTAAATATTATGGATTTTATTTCAAAATGGCAAATAAAGCTGATGATTTGGAAATGCATGCTTTATTTCTTGATAGAAATAATTCTACCCTACATTACTTATATAGAAATACTGGACATCTCTATGTGTAATTTTTTTTTTTAATGAAGTACAATAGCTTGAGGGATAGTATTTAAATCTAGAATTAGGAGGAAATGGGAAGTTTTTCAGCATATGTGCATGGCTCTAGTCCACAGGCATCATCAGTCAGGTGGAGAAATTCTTATAATAACATCTGCACTACAGATTCAGTGGAATTTTAGTAACCTCAAAACCACTGACCTAAGGAGGGCCCTCTTCAGTATGACCCACAGAATGATACTTTATTTGCTGTTCATTTTGTATTAAAGTAGATCCAAAATTCTAGTAGGAAGGCTGGAAAAACTCACTATGCCTAGGGGATGTAATAGACCTTCCCCAACTCATCAAATAAGCAATCTTCTTTATAAGATTGAGTTAAGGCACTGTAGTCTTACTCTGGGTTCTAGTAGTGGCTCTGATACTTACGTAGATTGGTCAAGTTGCTGAATACCTCTAAGCCTCAGTTTGATGGTCTATAAAATGAGGATAATGGTAATATCATCCAGGTTTGGTATGAGGATTAAATAAGATAAGGCATTAAAAAGCATTTAGCACAGTATCTGGCCACTAATAAGTCTCAATAAATTATCATCATAATAATAATCATCACCATATTACTTTGACAGTTAGAAAACAAAATGGATGGAAATAAGGGATAAAATTAAGTTTAACTTCACCTAATTATATTTTGAATGCTTACTATGAGCCAGACACTGCTCCAATTATTTACACGCATTTATTCTTCACCACAAACCTACAAGGTAAGCACTATTTCACTTTTCTTACATATGGAGAAACTGAGGCTTAGAAGTTATATAATTTACCCACAGTTATGCAGGTGGTGAGTAGAAAAAAGGAGATTCAAACAAAAGCAATCTTAGCTCCACTATGGTAAACTATTTCTCAGAGAACAATACCCAATGTGGTTCTGGTTCTCAGGAAACCACACTGAGTATTATTTTCTGAGAAATTTCTTAATTTCTCAGAGTTATATTTAGTTTGAGGACTAATATTTTCTGTTAATAATCTGGATGGTCAGAGATTCAATGAGCTCAAACTGATAAACAAATCTTAGGAGGAATATATCAAGGTATAACAGTTTAGCCTACTATTTTCCAGCCCCTGCTGTACTGTATTAGCCAAAGCATTCTAGTGAACCAGGGAAAGACCGAAGGTATGGGAACCCAGTGTGATCACCTGAGCATAATAATTGTAACAACCACATATTATTGTTCATCCATAACATGTCTGGCTCCATAGTAGAGACATTACACCCTTTGTTTCATTTCTTCTTCTCATATTTACACAATGACAATATGGGAAGGATTTGTACTTTTATTTTACAAAGAAAAAGTGGAGGTTCAAAACATTTAAATAACATGCTCTGCACTTCACTGTCGATCAGTGGCAAAACTCATATTCAAACCCAGCTCTGTGATTCCACAGAATAAAAATATAAATCTCAACCACTGTCCTATATGTAAATATTAATCAAGATCAAAATCAGAAGAACAAAGGAAAGAGAGCACAAAGAAAGAGAACTCCTGGGTCTTCCCAGATTTGTCCAGCATTTCAGGCAAAGGAACAACCTAGAGCAGCTGGTTCTTTAGGTCTTTTTTTAGCCTATCTTCCTGTCTTCCACTATACCATGTCTCTCACTGGCCCTATGAGTTGTTTATTCACATTTAGTCCATACTATGTTTGCATTCTCACTCCCATTAGTACCCATCTACCTTGCTAATCTCTTTCTTGCATCAGTTTCTCAGCAGCCATTTATGATTGTCTAGATTTTTATCATAATACTGCTGCATTCATTTGCTCAGTTTGCTCAATTATAGACCTCAGTGCAATAATTTTCATAATCCATCATCTGTAGGCCAGCTTCAGGTATTTAGTATTACATTCTATGTTTACTTCTTTTTACTCACTTATTTAGTTATTATTTACTTGCAGACAAGTAATCATGTAATTAGTTGTACAGTTACTAATAAAAGTTGAAATATAAAAAACAAAAGATGAACTACTTCTAGACTATAGATATGACAACAACAATGTTGTTACGTATGAACTCAAGTGTTTAGTCACACATATAACCACTCACACACATAACCAACTGCTTTGACTTCACATTTCTAAGGCGCATGTATAGTAGGTTACTGGACAAAGAGTCGGAAGATCTGAGTTAAAATCTGGACCCTGCCTGTTATTTCTGTAGCCTTAGGTAAGGCACTCCACAACTATAATCTTCAGTTTTCTCCCTGCATAATGGGCACAGTAGGCCACCCTTACAGAGTCATTTGGATGACGTGAGCTAATAAATAAATACAAAATATATAGCACAGTGTTCAACACCTAGGCTCTAAATGCATATTCATTTATTGTTTATATAATTAGTCTTGTTCTCTTTTTAATTATAATTCTACATTCATAATATTTTAATTTAATTCCAGATATATTAGTAACTATGCAGAAATGATATCTGATTCAGGCTATGTCCTCAAATGGGGCCATGTGTTTAATAGGCATTCAATAAATATTTGTTGAATGAATAAACAAACAACTGGGACACAGGAGTTTATTATGCAACTTCTGCATTTTGTGTTTATAAATATGGGTTTTAGAGCCTTAATATTAAAAACAAAATATGGGTGAGCTCCATGGGCCACAGGGAACTAGTTTTATTCTCCACCACCTTATTTGCTCATAGGAATTTTGTAGTACCATAAAGCAAAATGGCTAAAATACCTGCATGTCTGCCTACAAACCTTACTGTTTCTTTAATTCGGTTCCCTGTGTCTTTCTTACCTATATACCTACTTTGTTCCTAATAAGAACATATGTTTCTGTTTGTTTTATAGAAGTCAGAAAACTCAAAACTTTCAAGAGCAAGAAGTTATTTTGACTAAGGAAATATTTTTTAAAACCTGGAAATTCAGTTTGCTATGAGTACCATAAAGAATATACGGGCCTGGAAAAGATGAGCATCCTCTTTTCCTAAAGAGAGTTTTTTTCCTGGATCTCGGCATGCTCCTCAAAGAAGAGCTTGAGATGCCAAATTTCCCTTTCCTAAAGGGCCTTGTCACCTCATGATAGCACTGTTATTCTGAGACCCTCAATAGGTTATGACTTTCTTAATGGGCTGGGTCCAGAGTAATACTTTCCAGTGATACATTAGTGCAGCCCAACCCTCTCCCACAAAAGGGAGATACTTAATAAGCTAAACTGCAGACACTCTGCTTCCTTCATAAATGATTTGGCATCCTATTGCATTTTCTTTTTGCTCTTTTTCATTTCAGTTCTTTTGGAGATTCTGAGCCTTGAATTTGCCTGAATTTGGCCCAGGTCTTTGCCCTTGGAATGTGGTAACTATGTTCCATTGCCTTGAGTTTTCTTTGGGATTAGACACAAACTTATCCTCTGGGGTCTTTTAATTTGTGTACACTTAGGATACCCACCACAGTCACCCTCTAGAATGTCAGCCATACCCCAACCAGGAACACCAGGCTCCCACAATTTCAAGTACTAAATATTCTGTCATTTTAAAATGTGACTGTGTCTCGAGTTGTTTTCTGAAGGATCTTCTTGTCGTGGTTTTATTCATCAATTTGTTGCAATTGTATCTTGAAAAAATAAAAAGCTGACACATGGGAAATATACTTGAACATATATCATGTTTAATGAAAACATGATACATGATCATTAAACATGATATATGATCTTATATATCACATAAGATAGACATTGAAAAACTACTTTGTTTAGTTTTTATTAATGTAAAAGAGACTCTGAAATAAAGTAGCCTATAATTGTGGTATATAGTTGTTTGTCAAGATGGAAAAAGTACATGAAAAGCCTCATGTATTTCTAAAGTTACTCACGTGTGCTATTCTCCTTAGAATCTGTGTCATCAAAAAATAGCCCATGGCTAGCTGAGGTCAGTTATAACTAAAAGATCCTTTATAAAGACAAGACTGAGGGCAGCCAATAAACACAGCTGTCTCAGTCATCCCTTCATTTCCTTGTCAGTGTTCATCGTATAGTGCCACAAAATGGCATTAAGTGTTTAGAGCCTCAGACTAAATCAACTAGGAAAATTCTATACTCCTAATTTTCCATTCACATTGTACTAAACTTAGGAGCAACAGAGGACAGAAACATGAAAGCATTGTGCCAATAAGAACCATGACACAAATGAAAGCTTAATTACATAATTTTCTTCCCTATCAGCAGAGTAACTTTTGTCTCATAGGTCAAATATATTCAAGAAATCAAAACAAGCAAGATCTAACAAGTTTTGGGTAATTTTAACCATCCTAGTGGAACTGAAGCACATAAAAAAATAATCTTTTCATAAAAGAGGAGAGAATTCCTATTGTTCATTCTAAACTTTATATCAGCTATGATATTTAGGCATTGTAGCCTTATGTTCTGAGAAACAACAAATGTCTGTAGAACTGTAATAGGAAATTCACAATATTGATAATTTATTAGAAGAATGATGGGCCACATTTTAGACCCATCACTGAGGCATGAAAATAAATTATTCTAATTTCTACCTAAATAATTTGAATTTGGTTTGCCCAAGCTATTCACTTAACAGCCAAACACTCAGAAACAAATTCAGGAATTTGGGTGGTAAGACAAGCAAATACATGGTAAAATCTGAATGTCTGAGAGAAACCAATACAAGGAAAAAAGGTCAACTTTTAAATAACTCTAGTCTATTTTTACAACTTAAGATTTTAACGTTGTCATTTTGTAGTAAAATTATATTTTCTTGCAGGTATCCTGTTCTCAAGAAATAGCCAAGTTTTTCAAATTAAATGGGACTTACTTCATTGCCCTTATTTACAGGTGGAACCAGTTTTAAAAGTTCCTTTTACACATTTTCCAGGAAAGGTCCAGATGGGAGCTTCCCTTGCTAAAACTTTAACAGTGAACTTCATATATTTGGATTTTTAAAATACAGAATCATATTCTATATGATTTGATTCATACCAAGCCAAGATTATCAAGATTTCTAGCAACTATTTCAAAGCAATTCTGATTAAATAATTAGAACAATATTAAGTAGTTTGGACTTCTCATATAAACATTTTAATTTAATTAAAATTTCCACTTCCTCTTTCTGGAAAGCATCCAAAAGGAAGCAAAAGGAATAAAGAGAATATATATATACATATATATATATATATATATATATATATAACACAGGGCCTTGCAAAACTCATTTTTAACAGAAGTAGGAAACAATCTTCAGACTTTAAAATTTGTGTAAAGACTGAGATCAGGGAAGAGTGACAAAAGATGAAGTAAAAAGTATAGAAACTGCAATGGCAAGTGTGCCTTGCACCAAGAGATCTCAGAAGGTGAAAATTCTCCCTGAAAGTGAGGGGCACGCTCTAAAATGCAGACATACAGCTAATTAATGGAAGAGAAAATAATATAATTGACCGTAGAAGTAGTGGGGATGTACATGCACACACAAAGTCAAGCAGAGGAAGCACATTTGTAGAAGCACTGTCTATGGTATAAAATTAGAAAGTCTGGAAACATAACTTGGCCTCTTCTCCTACTCCACTCCCTCAACTCCCCACCCCGATTCCTGGCTCACCCTGAGACACTGTTTGCCCAAAGCAGAAATCCAAGACCTCAGAAATGAAGTGGTAAGACAAAAGGAGATGATGAAATGTGATCTGGTAGAAGTCAGGAAAGAATTATTAAAATAAAACAAAGCCTTGAAAGAAATGAAGAAAAAAATGGAAGGAACCAAAGAGAACATAGAAGTTAAATAAAAATGGAATGTAACAAGGGAAAGAATCCAAAACACCATGAAATGTGTTGGAAAAAACACCAAGAGAAACAGATTAAATGAGAAAAATATAAAAATAAATAAAATTAAAAAAAGAATTGGGAAGCATAAGAGAGAAAATGATAAATATAAAAGACAAGCAAAGAATATCCTGCATATGTATAATTTATTTATTCCTGGAAGACAACCAGAAAATTACAAGTAGGTAAAAATATAATTCAAAGGAAAAAATGTAGAATAAGAAAAATAATAGTCCTTGCTAAGATACAAAAAGATTTATTCAGGTACTCAAGCAAAACATGCATATGGAAGTTAACAAAATTGGAAATAAAAAATGACACTAGATCATGTTCTATAACATTTTTTTTTAAAAATCACTTTTCATTAAGATATTAAAATGCATATACTCTTTGATGAAATAATTCTATGTTTATGAATTTTTATCCTAAGGAAATGACTTAAAATGTGTACAATGACATAAGTATAAGAAGTATTCACTGCAGAGTAGTTTGTAATCATGAATGAGAGAGAAGGATACATAGAAAAAAGAAATAACTCAAATACCAAATGTCCAACAGTATTGGATAACTTAAATGCCATTATATTTACACTATAGAATACTATGCAATCATTAAAACTATGTTGTAAAATAGTGTTTAAAGACTTAGATGTTCATAATATATTTGAACATCATGAACTGTGTAATTACACTTTTAAAAAAGTATATACATATATTCTTCTATACAAACAGGAGAAGACTCAAAGGTTACAAAACAAAATAGTGACTTTCTACATGGAATTTTAAAATATTTTAAGTTTATCTTTTTGGTAACATATATTCTAAAATAAACACCTTTCTTTTATAATTTAAAAAGTTTTAGAATTAGAGAGAAAACATCAAAATTAAGTAAACCTCAATTCATATGGATTTGAATACAGTAATGTGGAACCTATTTCAACTTGGTGTTATTTTATAAATAGAACGGCATTGTGTATGGAAAGTCAAGGTACAAAATAAAAATCTTGTCTAAACTGAAAATAATTATAACTTATTGCAGACTTAATATTCACCATAGATTCTTATAAATATTTCTTTTTTATTATCTTAATTCTCACAACATCCCATTGAAGTTTCTATTTTTATTGTCCCATTTTACAGATGATAAAAGAGAGGTTAAGTAACTTTTTCAGATCCAAGACTTGACCCTGTGAAATATCTGCAAGTTTAGCTATTCTGTAATGTTACCCATAATGATAAAATAAGCTAAATATTGGTCAAATCTCCACTTGATGATGTGAGATGTCACAATTATCAAAATGAATTTTAGAGGATAGTGGCTGTCCTGTAAAGTTAATAACCTAAATGCTTAAATAAAGGGACTGGTGGTCTCTGGACACTGAGAGATCAATTGGCCTCTCGTATACCTGCTGTCACTAGGTTTCTCCCAAGGGATATAAGTGCCAGAGCTCCATTTCTGTGCCTGAAAAATGGTGAAGGTCAGCCTCTTGACCTGGGTGAGGTACGCAACAAATGGCTTTCCTTTCTTGTTGACGTTCAAAAAAGATGGGTCGAAGAGTTGCACAAATTAAAATTAAGAAGTCTATAGCATTAGCTAAGGGATATTGCCTAATTAGATTAGATATGAAATAGTAAAATCAAAACATAAAAATATAACCTGCTGATAAAATCATATTTTTGGATCTGGCTAATCATCCTAAAATGAAAAAAAGAAAAAAACAACCCTTCATTAGTCATTAGTTTCACCACAACCATTACTAAATGACATGAAAGGCAACAACTTATATAGATAACTTCCTACATGTTCATTTTCTTCTAAATTACCATGGCTACTGCAGAATAAAGATAAATAGCCTTTAGCATGTTTGGAAACAAAATACGGTGATGCTGATTGATGTATAAATTTACAAAATATTTTACTTTGGTAATGGAACAAAAAGCAACAATATTGAGGTTAAAATTTCTCAAATCTGGTAAGAACAAATTGTTAAATTATAGCAGTGAATATGTAGCATTCTCCATGAACATTGCTCCATCAAAAAATAAAAGCTTCCTTATGGAAAAAGTCTAGAGATGAATCGACTTTTATCTTGTGAATGTTAAATTAAAATGGAATATAATAAGGGAGAGAATCCAAAACACCATGAAATGTACTTGTTTACTGTTACCATTGCTCTTTGGAAGTAAAGATGTCATATGAGTTGGATATCAGAGAGGAGACTGAGGTAAATGTTGTTCATCCTTGTGCTATAAGACATGGCTGAGACAAAAATAAATGTTTGTACAGGAATAACAAAGAGATTTAACTTGAGAGCCAAAACCAATCTATTGGTCATGCCTGTCTAGAGTGATGGGTGGAAAAGATAATGAGGTTGAAACTGGCTCAGTGAAGACTGCTAAGACTGATTGGCTGATTGGCTATGTCTGCCAAAGGAAAGGGATAAACAAGGAGTGATATCCATGCTACAGATTTGCCCATCTCTGAACTAACAACTAGGCAGACAAGTAAAACACTGCTAGAATCAGCATCAGAACAGTAAAGAAACACTAAACATGTTTTAAGAGTAAGAATATGTATGTATTTATACATATTTAAAAGACATGTTCAGATTAATATACAGATATATAAATATAGGCAAGTAGAAAAAAAATGCAATGGAAATGCAATGGAATGTCAGTGTCCCTGGTTTATCTTGATATGTTGAAGCTTCATAACCTTGATCTTGGGTAAGTAGATTTACCTCTCTTCATTGAAATTTACTCATTTATAAAATGCAACAATACAACATATCCCATAGGGTTCTCAGAGGACCAAATGTGACCACGTGCAATAAATGGTAGCTATTATAATATGCAGAAATGGTGCTAGATGTTCAAAACTCTTGCCTAGCATCAAGAAGAATGCTTAAGGTGAGCTCCATTGGAACTTAATGCATGAGATCCAGGGTACTAGCTAATTAGCAAGGCTTGCAGCTGCAAAGTACAACACAGAACAGCTTATGTCAGGGAAAAGCAAAATGATTCACTTCACTCGGTAATGAATCCCTTTTTGCGCTGTTTATCTATGCTTTCCCACAACCCAGCACTAACTGCATATTTCACTAGAGCCTGCAGGGTTGGGTGGCATTGTCATTACATACAAAGCAGGATAATTATTATTTTGGTTGTGCTATTATTTTATTTCTTGATAATAACTTGAATATTTCTACCAAAAAGCCCCTTTCCATCTAGCAACACTTTAAGGAGGTAAAAGGACCAGAAAAACTGTTATTAGTCTTTTTTTCTTACCAGATTTTGTCTTATAACATAGTTTCCAGAAGTCATTCTTTTTAATCAATATTAAATATGTCCAAAATCAATAGAATTATTGTGATTCTACTTTTTTCCCACTGAAATTGGGCCTAGGTTCAACCCTTTCATGCCAGGACTGCCCATTCCCAGGAGCAAGGATAAAACAAAGCTAAAAGAAAAAGACTTATGCCTAAGTATGAATTCGACAATTCTTGAAGGCTGTTGGAATCCAAGCTGAGTGGTGTCCCCTGGACTTTAAAGTTGCTGGGCATGCTGACATCAGACCTTATAGACTCTAGACCTGACAGCCTTGCTGGATCTTGCATGCAAATCTGCCACTTGAGATTTTGTTAAAATCCTGTTAAGACCCATTACCTGTCTAGATCTATATTACCTGCCATAACCCACTGGAGGCCTGCACACATGCACTCCTAGGCAAGCTGGGTCTCATTACCCACTCTAACCCCTGTGACATGCTATCAGTTATAAATATGGGCAGTAGTAAGCCCCAGACCAGGATGACAGGGTTTGCATCCATGTATTTGGCCACAAACAGACCTGGCTGAAACGTGATGCAAAGATCTATTGCTAAAGGGAAGTGGCTACAGTAAAATGGATACCACCATAGCTGCCCTGGGATACAGGAACCTGTTGGCCTTTGGAACTGTTGATATGATATCTCTAAAATCAACTAAATCCATTCTCAGGCATAATCCATTTGTCTTAATAAAGCTAAAACAAGCATAAAATTTCAAAAAAGAACTCTGGCTTTAGAATGAAGCAATTCCATAGCAGATTTTTCATTCTTCATCCCAAAGTCTTCAACACCACACACAAAAACATAACTCAAAATACCATCAACTTGAAAAAGAGAAGCACTTTTGTGTAGCCAGCTCAAAGGACTGGTGTTATATACCAGAGGTATGTCATATTCTTTTGGTTGTTTATCCAATTAAAAAGTTATTTTGGAAAAAAAATGACAACTGTGCATACAGTCATGGGAAATTGGAGCCTCAAGACAAAGGTGGATTGGAATTACAAACACTTCCCAAAAAATGTTGTTCCAACTGTGCACTCTGCCACATCAGAAGTAGTTTTTCAGTAAAAAATATGATGTTGATTAATTGTTAAACTGACAAAACTGTTGCAATCCAACTTTCATACATGCAAAATACCTCCAAGAGGCAATGTCATAGGGAGATTAAGAACAAGCTCCATGGTCATGCAGACCTGTGTCGAATTCTCCTTTAATAGATTGCAGTGGAAGACAACCTGATCCTCAATTTCCTCATTTGTAACATGAATATAATAGAACCTATCTCTTTTAGGGATGCTGTGAGGGTAAAATGAGACAATACATGTGACATACTAAGAACAGTGTCTGGCACATGGTGAGTATCACTAAATGTAGTTCTGACTGTATGTTCTAAGAACAGCTTTTTGTTGCTTATCTAAAATAAGAAAAACTCCCAGGAAAATATTACAATTAAAAAAATTCTAGGCCGGGCGCGGTGGCTCACGCCTGTAATCCCAGCACTTTGGGAGGCCGAGGCGGGTGGATCATGAGGTCAGGAGATCGAGACCATCCTGGCTAACAAGGTGAAACCCCGTCTCTACTAAAAATACAAAAAATTAGCCGGGCGCGGTGGCGGGCGCCTGTAGTCCCAGCTACTCGGGAGGCTGAGGCAGGAGAATGGCGTGAACCCGGGAAGCGGAGCTTGCAGTGAGCCGAGATTGCGCCACTGCAGTCCGCAGCCCGGCCTGGGCGACAGAGCGAGACTCCGTCTCAAAAAAAAAAAAAAAAAAAAAAAAAAAATTCTATATAATAATCTTGGTCAGCTTTATTTGCAAAGTGCTGTTTCAGGAAATGGAACCAGAAGATTTCGTTTTTGTTTTTGCAATGGGTTGGGATGAGACCATATTTGCCCCAGAATCCTTTCTTCTCCTCAGTGCGGTTTGTATGGTTCTCCCTGATCCAAGGTGTAACAGTAATACATGCTATCATTGATAAGAATTATATTTTAAATAAGATTAAGATGTTAAAATATTTAAATGAATCTTTATAGACCAAATAATAAAATAGATGTATCAAAGAGATCAGAGCCCTAAAGAGTTCATTTTCACCACTTTTTGAGTACTTACAGAAATTAAGAACACATAAAATAATCTGCCTTACATTCTAAGAAATAGACAAATTGAACCCTCTCCCCCAATCTCTCCATTTAAATATAGGAAAGAGCTATTTGCAGCAAGACTAGAAGTAAAGTTTGTCTAGGAGCACTGTTGCTACCAGAAAGAACCCTAATGAGAGATGCCATGTATTTCTGCAGCAGCTGTTTGTATGCAGACCTACTTACTCCAAAATCATGCAAGCTCATCTTAATAGGGGTCTGCTTCGCAAGCAGGCAGGGTGAAATTCACACATTTGGCTTAGATCACTGTTTACAAAGGAAACACAGCTAGTCATTACATTTAATTAGATTGCAATTATATGACAGAATATCATACTTACATTTTCATATATGTTCAATGGGTATCTTTGTCTGCTAAATAAGATTTATATCTTCTACACCAGCTGTCTTTACTTCAAAGATGGGGATCTTTGGGATGCTGGTATATGGGAAAGTATGTTAAAAGGGAGGGAAGCAGACAGCAAAAGCAAACTAAGTCTACTTAACTATTTTTGCCTTTAGGCCAGCCCTGAGGTTAGAAGTAAAAAAGAATCAGACAATAGGCACAGGTGACATAACCAACCAAGCAGCCCTTACATGTACAGAGAATAAGTCTCCATAGGATGATCTGAAGAGTGCTGACAGATTCCACCCCTCTCATAAACGTACCCTCAGAGAGACAGTCCGTGAGTGGTGTCGAAAACTCCTGCAGTATTTGCCCCGTGCATTATATTTGAAGGTCCTCACTCAAATGCCATGGAGCAGAGGGGAGACTATAACACATTAAAACCTTGTCAATTACTATGGTCTCATTTGAATTAGATCAAAAGAACAGATATGTGGACAGCTCACAGAGTTCAGAGGAATGAAACAAAATAATAAAAGATGGACATTTATGGAAGGCTTTCTTTATAGGCAATGTCCTTAAAAACTTTACATAGGGGATTTTGTGGTAGGGACTATTAATACAAAGTAGGGACTATGATTATTTTCATTTTGCAGATAAAGAAACAGCTTCTTGGGGGAGCTAAGTAATCTACTTGAGATCACACAGCTAGTAATGGGCAGAACAAGCACTGGAACTTTTGGCTGTCCCCCTTAAGAGAATGACTTCTCCACTGCTATCATTTGAATAAGGGAAACCTAGAACACCTTTTGGTAACAGGTGTCTGAGGGACTGGAGCACTGAAAGGTAAGGGTTATTTGTCCATAATCCGTAACTCCTGATTAAGAAGGAGGAATCAAGAAGAATGACCAATCTATTATCACATGATTAGCGTGCTGAATAAAATCAAAAACTTTCAGCCTTCCAGTGGTTCTGCGGGTTTCAGGCTACTAACGCTTTCCAACTGTCATATTCTATTCTGTCAGAAAGTACAAGAAGATATGAACAAATCAGTTAGATGACCACTTTAAACGAATATGTACGGATAAAGCCGATAATTAGCTATGACCTATCAACATATTATCCTATAACCTTCTCTAAATCATCACTTTTAGCTTCATTTAAGTTTTGTCTGCAGCTACTATTCTATATAATCCATTTTAAAAACTTCTTTTTAAGAAAGCAAAACATTAGATGCAGGAGATGTCTTCTTGACTAGTCTTGAAATAGATGCTGGATAAAGCTAGTGCATGTTCTACAGAGTCCAAAGAATTTACTTTTTGATGTATTTCTTGATAATAGTAGCCTCTTAGTATTTACAACTGAGTTCTGAGCACCAATTTACATATTCATAATCCCTGGTTGACTGAAATTTGGCATCATTAAGCGCAAGTCATCAATATCTCATGAAGCTGTAGTGAAAGCTTCTCTGGGTGCTTTATGGAAGTAACAAAATATATTTGCTCATACATAATAAAAACTACATTTCAACAATATAAAAATGGAGAGCATCAGTTTTCATTTTACTGCATTAAGCTCTCTTATTCAGTCTAGTGTACTAATATTATGCATACAAATGTTATATTGGTTATTAGAAGGTCAGTGTATTTGGAAGATATGTTTAAGGCTTTTTTTCTCTATAGTTACATCATCAATAATTTCATTACATCATATATGTTATCTTGTCATTTTTTTCAATTAATTATCTTATTCTAGCAAATTTGTATTTTACAAAGACTAATGATATATGAGATATGTCTCAGGCCAACTTCCACCACAGTATAAACATGTTGAAAAATAGGAGAAAGGATTTGGGATATTTACATTTAATACCAATTTTATTTTTTGAGACAGGGTTCTCACTCTGTCTTCCAGGCCGGAGTGCAGTGGCATAATCAAAGCTCACTGCAGCCTTGACCTCCTGAGCTCAGGTAATCCTCCCACCTCAGCCACCAGAGTAGCTGGGATTATAAGTGCCCACCACCATGCCTGGCTAATTTTTTGTATTTTCTGTAGACATGGGGTTTGCCATGTTCTCCAGGCTGGTCTAAGTCCTGAGCTCAAGTGATCTGCCTGCGTTGGTCTCCCAAAGTGCTAGGATTGGAGGTGTGAGCCACCGCGCCCAGCCCAATATTTTTTAAATGTATGCATTATGTGGAGGATATTATAGAATTGTAGTCAATTGCATTGTTCCTCATTTACAACTATTTCTTAGAGGTTACCTGTAAGATTTATAATACATATGTATGATAATGTGCATATTTAGACTTAAGGTTAATATCCAGTTTTTAACATGTAAATATATTTTTTAATCACTCAATATATCTACGTAGAAACATTTCTCCCTCCTGTCAACTGTGAATGTGTAGCAGACAGACATTTGAGTGTTGCTTTTTCAAAATAACTGTCTTCCCTTGCCATTTCATTTTATGTGAATCTAAATGATACTATATCTCAATGATGATACAAGCAAATGATTTTAAACTTGCATTTTAAAGCAATATAGCAATGTTAGCTTATTACAACATTTTTTACTTTTCTTACACAGTAAATTTTTGATGGTTGTGGGCACTATGGTTATAGTATATATGTATATACATATAACATATATATTAGGAATTAATATCAGTCAGAATTTCTAAAAATAATTAAATATAAATGTAATCATATTGATACTATTCACATTAATTAGGTTAAATTTAATACATTAATCCCAAATTAATTATAGTATAAATATATATGCATAACATATACATCAGGAATTAATGTCAGTCTTAGGATTTCTATAATAAAAATTAAATACATTGTATATGATATTCCATTTCCATAGAGTTGGAATAACAATAATTCACAATTATTTGGTTGGACATGTTAACATCTACTTCATTCAACCATTCATTCAGCAAACACTAGTGGTGGTTATTAATGTCAAGTTTTCTGCTAGTTTCAGGAAACAGAAAAAGAGGATGTGATGTGGTCATTGAAAGGCTTGGAGTCTTTAGAGTAGAGCAAATAGCAGCCACTGTTTACTACCCTTAGTCATATCAGAAATAAGCAAAGTTTGTTAACAGAAAAAAAGTAATTAAATTGAAATATTTACATTTGTAGTTAGTAGTGTCTTCCAAAGAGTTACTTAGATCTTACATAAGGTTTTTATTACAACTTATTTTCACTTTAAATTCATCCATTTTGCTCAGTGATTCAAACCACTGCATTTCCATTCTACATGTATTGCAGACTTTATATCAAATGGTAAGTATGATTGTGAAGGAATGTAATCTGAGAATTTCTAGAAGAAATGCCACTGTAATCCAGTTAGGAAATAGTTCAACACATTAATCATGGACAAAGTGCTCCAAGCCATCTGGCATCCTCAGTTATTCTTAGAATGTTAGAAAGAAAAACTAGAGGATATTGTACTAAATTCAGGTTTGCTCAAAATACTGACTTATCCAAACTCTAAAATATTCAGATTTCTGTTTTCTTTTATGTCTTCACTCTTAAAAAAATGACTTATTTGATGCCACATTTACCACGAACTTTTGCTCCCAGTGGAACATTTATATATACTTTATTGTCATATCAATAACATTTTATAGACTTATCTGGAGAACACAAAGACTTAGGAATGGATAAAATTTGATAGTATGTAGTGCATTTAGTGTCACATTGGTCTACTGGTGACTTTCCATCTCCATCATACTCCAAGTGTTAGAGCTTGGCATATGCAGGTTCAGTGTCTGAGGTGCTCTTCTCTTAGTCTGTCACCTGGCCAAATGACACTAGTCATTCTAGATCAGCATCCCTGTCACCACTTTAGAAAAATTTCCCCTGACACTGAATCTAACTCAAGAACCTTTCTATTAACTCCTCATTGTAAGTGTTTCTTTCCATCTTTGAACTTTTCACAATTTTTGATTGTCTTATTTATTGCTTTGATAACTGTTACATTTAATCATCACACCAGCTCCACACAGTACTAGGTACATTTATTATCCACATTTAACAGATGAGGAAACTGGCTCTTTGTTCCTAAATGTTAAGCATCTAGCATGGTGCCTGGCTCATATTTATATATGCTAAATGTCTGTTGAATAAATTGACTGAACCAGCTATCTCTTAGAGTTGAAATTTGACCCTCTGCACCTGACGGGCAAAATGCATCAAAGAGAACAGGGTTTGAAACCTGCCTGCCTATATGACCCTGATACAGAGAGAAATATACACTCTCTGAACCTCTATTTTTCATTAGTGAAATGAGTCTAACATCTATTTCATAGAGTTGTTAGGATTTAATGAGATAATGTAATAAAAATAACCTAACTTTAATAATTTGAAATCAAAATTTCAATCGTAGTTTGTATTCATATATCTTGATTCTAGCCCTGATATTTTAAGAGCATCTCTCGCTTCTCCAAATGATAGGCTTTCAAATAAAATATCTTGTCCTTTTTCCTTCCAGTTAATTGTCCCATCTTTCTTAAACTGTACTTCTATTTCTTGATATATTACTTCATTCAATAAATATTTTCTGGGTACTTACTATATGAAAGATGCAATTACTCATAAATCCTGTCCTCATAGAGCATACAACTAAATAAAGAGCTAAATTATGCAATTAATCATTCAGAAACAGGATCAGACTCAAGACTTGATAAAGCACAGATTGCTGGCCATCATCACTAGAATTTCTCATTCCGTAGGTCTAAGGTGAGCCCCGATAATTTTCATTTGTACCAGATACTGTTGCTGCTGGTCCAGGACTCACATTTTGAGAACCAGTCAACTAGAGTATAATGATATATTTACCCAAGAAGATGTGAGAGACTTGAGAAGGAAGAAATTACTTTTAAATATATATCTCAGGAATTTTATGGAGGAAATGGTGTTGACTCTGGCCTTGAAAGGTGGGAAAGGATTTGAATGAGGTTTTATGTTTTTATCTTCCGGGTGGAAATAATCATATTGGAATCAATTTGACAACAGATAATTTGATAATCTTATAATTGAAAATAAATTGAAGATAAAGTATAAAATTATGTTTGATAGAAATAAATGGCAAACGTATATCAAAAGTGGTAGCTTTCTTATGTGAAAAAACTCATGCTACAGGTTTATTGGTAGAAACTAATGTGTGTGTATGTGTGTGTATATATGTGTATTTGTGTGTATATATACTTATACACACACAGAATGGAGGAAATCAATTAAAGAACATTTGAATTTATAGCTAATATGTGCATGAATTAGAAGAGTTAAATGAAATAATGTACATTATAATAACTGACTCTGGCTAAGGAACACATACTGACTACAGCTTAGTAATTTAGCTATTACGTTGTTAGTATGTGTGTTTTTTTAATTCTAGAAAATTTGTAAAATACATATTTTCTCTGCAAAATTATTGATAAGTTAATAGAAAACTAGCTGGTTATAAGTTAAACTGAATGGGAATTCACAAATCCTTTTACATTGTCTTTCATTGAAAGACAAAAATTACTCACAACGTATAAATAAAAAGGTTGCACGTGTATAACAGAGCATGTTACTGTGAGGACTGGATGAACTTTAACACACCTGATGTGTTATTCTCAAGTAGGGCAAATGCAGCTTCTGAGTCAGTTGCAACTTCAAAGGTGAGACTTGAAGGGAAATCTGAAATTTCACAGCTGAACAGAATTGACTTCAAAAATACAATCAATAAACTGTCTGATGGAAAATACAGTTAATGGATCATAAATAAAGTGTGATATGCAAATTCACATACCAATTCTGCCATTATCAATATGATTAAGCAGTTCTTTAAGACCATACCCAGGGGTGCACCACAACGGACTCAAAAACATCAGCAACTCTGCATTTTCAGGCATCATATTGGTAGTTTGAAATTGACCATGATGGGAATATTCACACCATAAAAACTTGCAAAGACTAAAAATCAAAACTTTTTTCTTTCTTTTTCTTCTTTGCGAAGCCAATTGTCAAACATTCACCCTATTTAATTTTAAGTTCTCACTTCTTGAGACTGATATAATGAAAAATTTGATTACATAGACATTGTAAGGAGATGAGAAGAAAGTTAAATATTTGGATTTACCATGCTAAAAAGAATTTAGTATTTATTTATAAAATGTTTACAATGTTACAAATGAATTCTAAATATTTCATTCATGATCACAAGCACCCTTGCAGGAAGGCATTATTTATTAATTATTTTACAGAGAATGAAGCATAAGTTCATAAAGGTTAAATAACAAAGGCTTATTCTTTTCTTAATTGAAAAAATATATATTCTTATAGTGCCCAACATGATGTTTTATTATATGTGAACATTTTGGAATAACTAAACCAAGTTAATTAATATATCCGTTACCTCACATACTTATATTTTTGTGGTGAAAACATTTAAGATCTATTTTTGACTAGTAACATTAATTGCCTCCCTAAGTCAAAAATATACTTGAGGGATACTTCTTTCTCCCTCATTCTTGAGAACAAAGATAATTGAACAGAAGTCGTAACCAGTTCTCTATTTTTTAACAATAAAAATAATTTAATTTAAAAATAGAGTTTTAGGTTGTATTAGTTTAAGCATAAGGAAAAACACTCTCAATAGTAAAAGGTTTTATGAAATCCAGTTCTTTCAAATTTTTTATGACATACAGCCTGATTTTAAATACAAACCTCAAGAAAAATTTGATTATTTTTTTAGCTCCTTTTAAATCTAGTAATTTTATGATATGGATGGGTATTTTTTAGAAAGAAATACATTTGGTATGAGGAATTGAAGGAATACACTTGTCATGCATGATAAAAGTTTAAGTTTCATTTTAGTTACAGGCAAGTGATTAGAAGACATCGAAAGCTAAACATTTCTATTCAAAGTTTTTTCTAATTTTCTTTTATTTCCTTAGGATGAAGATTAGCTCAATAAATTATCTCTTGAGCATAATGACATATACTTCCACATTGATGACAGTTTTACACATAGTTTTGTGAATCTCCTCACTATCTTTAAAAAGTTGAGAATTTACACACACCACACACACACACAAATACACACACACACACACTGCCCAACTCTAATGATCTTAATTGAAAATTTACATGGTCCAAGTGATATTATGTTAGGTCAAACAAATAATTTTTTAAAGCTCTGGCTTATTATACTTCAACAGAAGTTTTAGAAACCTTAACAAACTAAATGTGTGAGTTTTTACAATTAAATGAATAAAAATTTCATAGAGGGAAAACAGGTAGATAATATTCAAAATAAGCCAGATGCTTAATAACATCCTGCTTAAATGTTTTCAAAAGCTGTATTGTTTATTATAATTATAAGAAGATAATTCTAGATGTGAAAAGAATTAAATAAAGTTTTGTGTATGTGATATGTTTTTAAAAACGAGCAGATGTAGTCCCTGAAATAAACTGCAAATCATTTGTGGAGTTGTAGTGTCAAGAAGTATATTTGGCATTCAAGTAAGATTCAAATGCTAATTATTTGTTAAGTGAATAAAACACCATCCATGTGTCAGCTCAGGGCTAGGCATCGGGGAACACCAACAAGGTTTCTACCCACATGGAACTTAGAATACATTAGACTAAAAATGTTCCTTAATATCCATGTCTTCATTTAATTCTTTGTATTAGTAAATTAAGAATGTATATTTGATTCAAAGACCTAGGCCTGAAGATGTGCACAGAAGTTCAAGCATTCCCATTGAAGGTATTTGGAAAATAGTGTGCAGTTTTCCACACATATGATGACCTAACAAAATATACACAGATAGATAGATAGATAGATAGATAGATAGATAGATAGATAGATAGATACATACATACATACATACATACATACATACATACATACATACATACATAGACAGACATAGGTATACAGATAGATCAATTGATCTTGGAAAAAAAGACAGGGCCAATTTTCAAAATGGTGTATTATTAAAAAGTAGGTACTTTCCTTTCATATTGATAGCACAAATCCAAGCTTTCCAAAAGATTCATAATATGTTCTGTGTGTCAACTCTCAGTTGCCTTACTAAAAAATACTTTATTGTCTTAACAATTTGTTTTATTATTAAATTTTATCTTCAAAATAGTCTTTATTCCAAGATTAATTCTTAAATGTTATATAGCTTATGCCCCTTTTGTTTAAAAATGTTAAACCCGAATACAGTTTCTCTAATTTTTAAGCTAAATAGTACTACGAAGACAGCAGCAGCATTCAGCTTAAATAGAGTGTTAGATGAGATTTTGAGAGTTAGGCAATTTGGAATAGGTGATGCAATTTTATTATATGAAAGTGACTCATTATTTCATCACTGAATATAATTTCTGGAATTGTTATTTGGAAGCAAATGTGTTAGGTAAATACCCTTTGAAAAACATAAACAATTGCTCATCATGACTTCATCCCAAATAATAAATAAATTTAAGACATTGACTTAAAAGGTAATTGAAATGCTACACTTTTTCTTCATTAGTAATGAAGATACATTAAAATATAGCCTAAAATATAAAAAATGAGTTGTGCAATTAATTCAGAAGTACACAGGAGGAAACACACTATCAAGTATAAAACAATTTCTGTTCCATAAAATTAATTTATTATTAAGGAAACCAGCATATACTGAACATGTGCTGTGTGCTGGAACAGTGGGCTTAGAGAGAACATAATAGTTCCTGACCTTAAGTTGCTTAGGAAAGTGAAACAAATATGGCAAAAATGTCCCCTAGAATCTATTCTGTCCTTCATTTCAATAAAGAAATCCCCACAAATTTTTTACTGGACAGATCGCTGCCTTTGTCGAGATTACTTTTTCTAGCCTTTCTGTAAGTAAGTACTAGACAGGAGGATGAAGGCAGGTGAAATGTGCAACTTAGGGCATGAAGCTATCTGCCCTGTCATTTATCTTTCTTCCCTTCCCATAGGATAAATATCAACAAGGTAATGAGCCAGCTTCAACCATGTAGAAAAGACAACAGCTGAGTGACACCAGATCAAATAAGACGGAATAAACCTGGGTGCCTGAATGACTACAAGAGGTACAGCTGCTCCACCAGCCTCCTCCATTCACTTCCAGGATATTGCACAGTAGAGAAAGAAACCTAAATCTTATTTGAATCATCATATTTTGAGAGCTCTTTGTTACCACAATTTAGCCAATCCCTGATACAATAAATAAGCACACGATTATTACTGTACCCTAGGTATTCCCTGAGAGTTTTGTCAGTTAGTCTTCTCAATTTCTGTAAAAGGCCACTCCATTACTCCAACTGTTTAGGCCAAAAACTTGGAGTCATCTTTCACTCCTCACTGTGTCTCACATACCATTTCCAGTCCAATCCATTAGCAAATACTATTGGCTGAGCTTTCAAAACAGTTCCTAAATTTGACCATTTCTTACCACCTCAATGTTTTTGGATAATGACCTTAGTCCGAGTCATCATTATCTGCCTCTTTGACTATTTAATAGCTTTCTAGCTGATATGTGTGCTTGGTACCAGAAAGTTTATTCTACATCGCTGGAAGAAAGTCCCTTATTAGCCACAGCTTAGAGCATGGTGCTCTTTTGCTCAAATCCTCCTGTGGATTCCCATCTTGATTTTTAAAAATAATAATAAAAATTCTTAGAATGGGCTACAATACCATCAGAGCTCAGTTATTTAATTGGTTTTGTTACCCAACTCCCCCACCCCCCCACCCCTGCAATGACTCACCCCACTCATGCCACACTGGCTTCCATACTGCTTGTTGAACATGCCAATCATAATCCTGACTCAGAGCTTTGCACATTTATTCCCTCTGCATAAAATGCTCTTCTCCCCAAATATCAGCACTATCTATTGTCACCTCATTCATGTCTCTGCTCAATGCTCAACTTACAGAGGCCTTCCCTGAGCACCTTACAGAACATAGCAATTCCTTCCCCATCCCACATGTCACACTATCCCCTTGCCATGCTTTGGTTTTCATAGCCATTATTACCTCCTGGTTGTGTGTGTGTGTGTGTGTGTGTGTGTGTGTGTATACCCAGACATTTGAAAAAATCAGTTGTGAACTACTGATTGAGTGTTATAAAATTTAGCTATTTGGTCCCAATTGTCTTGCAGAGAAATGACCACAAGCCTGAAAGCCATAAATCATGGGAGTTTATTCCCTGTATTATATCAACACACTATAAATATTTGTTTACTTTTTAAGTTATGTATTTTCCTCATTAAAATATAAGCACCATGTTAATAGAAACTTCGTATTCTGTCTGGAACGATTTTTATACAAAATAAGCATTTCATGAATTAACAAATTGGAGAAACGAAATGAACAAAACCCAATCTGACCAGTGTGCTTATAGAGAGGAACACAGAGGCTGTTAGGAACTTCAGAGACAACAGTCCAGCCCAGTCAGAAGGTGTCAAAGCAGACTTCTTAGAAGAGCCAACTTCTACATCAACTCTGAAGAGCAATAGTGCTTCAGAGCATGTATGCCAAGCAGAGGAAAATTTACAAGGCACACAGACAAGCGAGCATTCGAGGAAGTTGAGCCAGAAGTATGAAGTGGTGAGTGCAGAATCTAGTAGGGAAGCAGGGCAGATCAATGGGTAACGGCCACTCCTACGTGCCAGACACAGGACTTGATGCTTGACATATATTATGTGACAAATGAGGAAGGAATGACTAAAAAGGTTAGATAATTTCCTCAAGATTACTTAGCTGGTTATATGGCAGAATCAGAATTCAAGTTCATGTCTGCCAAGTTCCAAAACCTAGCTCTCTTCATTTCACTGTAGTCTTCCATCCTAAGGCATCACTGAACTATATAATTTGCATAGAAAACAAACCCTAAAATTAATTACTCATAACAATATAATGTCGTATGTGTTGGAGTAAGCCTTTTATCTTCCAATGTTGCTTACCTCATAAGAGCTGTCTTTTTAAGAGAAGAAAGAAGAAAGTTGTTTTTCCAAGAAAAAGAAGTAAAAACAGCATTTTAAAAAATTTAACTTATCCCAAGAAAATGCTAATGGTGCTGAAATATCAAAAACAAGCAAAGGTACTAGCAAATGAAAAAGCTCTTTGCAAAATGCATCACAAGAGAAATATGTAGACATTTCAAACATTTACTTAGCAAGAAAACTTTAAAAGAGACATCCAATCGGTAGCTCACAATGTAGGTTTACATATACACAGAGAGTACTACACTGGGACCATGTATACAGTAATGTATTATCTTGTTTAATTTGAAAACATTATGGTATTAGAGAAGTTATTGTACTGAGACTTCAAAAGATGAAATGTTATATCTTCTAAGATTATTTTAAGTGAAAAATAAGCACAGTATAAAACCATTTCCTCTCTCCAAAATGCTGGTTGAATTCAAAGAATATCTGTTTTCCTTTATTCCTTTAGAACTGTAAGTCTAACTACAAAAAAATAAAATTTCAATGTTCTGCGACGCTAACTCAGAATAAGCATTGGGGAATCCAATCCAATTCCCAAATCTTGAACATCAGAAAGTGTACAAACAGAACCCACAAAATGTATCAAGGATACCTTTCATACTGTGAAATGGAATGTAATTAACAGAACAATAAGCACTTCAATGGAATTGACTTGCCTATTGTTGATCTGTGTTGGCTATTTGCACTAGATTTAAATGTTAGCCTTTACAGAAATTTTTCTGCTTCTAATTTATCAAGACTATTTAAGAGACATTTCTTTTGTAACACGGTTCTAGATATGTGTGATGTGGAGGAGAAACATCAGTATCTGATATGTTGAACCTTAAACTAATCACATTCTACTTTCTGAAACAAACAACCACATGGTCATATATGCCCTCAAGTCATATGGCTTAAGGCCATGGTTCTCAAACTTAGTCTCCAGACTTCCTTATGCTATTAAATATTAGTGAAAACCTTAAGAAGCTTTTGATTACGTGGGTTACTTCTATGGATGTTTACTCTATTTGATATTAAAATGGAGAAATGTTTCAAATATTTATTCACTTAAAAATAATAATAAATCTATTACATGTTAAATAATACATTTTAATTAAAATTAACTACATTTTTAAAACAAAAATGTTAATACAAAGCATGCCATTGTTTTACACTTTGGAGAAATCTAATTGATGTCTAGCTTAACAGAAGGCAGCTGTATTCTCTGTTTCTGCATTCAGTCTGCTGCTATACCACACACCATGTGGCCTCTAAAAAACTTCACTGTATACTACTGAGAAAATGAGACAGAAGAAGACAAAAAAGATAGTGCTATTATGAAAATACTTCTGACCTCAAGGATCCCCTAAAAGTGTCCCTGATCACACTTTCAGAACTGCTGCTTTAAGAATATTAGTTTGCATAAAATAGGAAGGAATTTTCAGTTTACTAAAAATATTTCTCATAAAGAATTGAAAATATTTATGAATATCCATATCTATGAAATCTGTTAAATATCCAAATTTGCCATTTAATCTGATGTATGTAAAACAACTACTTTAATTAGAAGAGAGCAACTTTCATCAATCTTTCCCCTATGCCTGGTTTAGTCAGCAGAACACTACCTCCACATTCTCATCTCTCAATTGAGCTTTCAGGAATATATATCTGAATGTATATCTACCGTCAGAACAGAAATCTTGTCTTGTACTCTCAAAGATGAAGTATCTCACTTTTTTCCATCTCAGAAAATGGTACCACCATTCACTTAATTACATAAAAACATACAAGTCATTCCTAATTTATCTTTCTCTCACACCCACATCTAATCCATGCACTGCCAAATTATACCACATTTCTTTCATCTCCCACACTGCCATCTTGGCACAAGCCACCATTATATTTTGCTTCGATTACTGCTATGGCTTCCCAAGTGGTATCCCTTTTTCTCCCACTACTCTACAATCCAATTTTTCTTCCAAGATTATTAGTGGAATCCATTTTTCTACTCATAAAACATAAATCAGATCATGTCTCATCTCAACTTAAACTCCTCTAATGCTCTCGAAATCTCTTAGAAAAGCAGTCTACTTACAGGGCCCTATGTATGACATTGCCTCTACCAACCATTCCAACCTGGCCTCATGTTTTCTGTCTCTTTTAATGTGTCAAACTTTTCCGTACCTTACTGCCTTTCTATTGTGTTTACTTCATCTGGAATCCTCTACCCACACTTTTGTTTGGTTCCTTCTTGTCATTCAGGTTCAAACTCAAATGCTACCCTCCCAGGGAAGTCTACCCTGACCCACACAGTCATTGCCTCCACGATTCTCTTTCATCACCCTGTTGTATTTATTTTTTCATAGCACTTATTACCATCTGAAAGTATTTCGCTTATTTCCGTACACAGTTTTATCTTTTTCCCCTGCCACCATCACCAGAATGTGAGCTCTAGAAGAGACACTGTGTATGTGTTGTTCACTGTAATGTCCTCAGTGTCCACTGAGACATAATCATCACTGAGTAGGTGTTTCTTGAATGTAAGAACTAATAAATAATCAAATGAATTATAATAAAGGAGAATAAAGACTATATATTGCAAAAGGAAGTTCATTATATACTTTCTTTGCTATTATCTCTCTTTGAGGAATATACAAAGAGTTTCAAATATTCATATAATACGCTTGTCAAAGTCACACCCCGCTTTATCTCTACCACCCTTTCTGCAGGTGGAAACACACCATCTAAGAGAAGAGGAAAGACCATAGTTTAGTAATGCCTGCTTTGTATAGATGTAACTGGTTACTCAACATGAAGAAAAATTTTCCAAAATATTTTTCCTATTTCATGTGCCTTTGAGTACTAGAATTGATGTAATAAATAAATAATTTAAATCCACAGGATTAAATGAAGAGAAATTTCAAGACTTTCCATAAAAGGCATCTTAATTTTCTTTGAAGAGGATAGTATGCAAAATGATGCTGAAAAACCATTGTGGTTTCTTTAAAGACTCATTTTTAATTTACTTGGGAGCTTTATCATCAATACCTATAGTTATCGCTATTAATCATGTTTTTCTTGTAAATTTAAATTTAATCATTGATAACATTCTTTACATGCTATACCACCAACCCACCGTTACCTGAAATATGATATAAACTCAGGGAAAAGGCAATGTCATGTAAATTCATATACACATATTGGCACAAAGTATAAACATTTGCACGTGCATATTTCCAAAAGGATGAGTCAATAAAAATCTTCACACTGGTAATATCGGAGCAAGTTATTACAAATCTTTTTTTTTTTTTTAAGTGGCTTTAAATTGAGGGCATGTACCGTCATTGAGTGAACCATCAAGGATCGCATAAATCTGTATCAGCAATGTTGCTGAAGGTATTAAATATTCTAAAACAAGACGAAATGCAAGGTAATAGAAAAGTAATGTAAAATAATATTCTGTAAATATGATCTGCATGATCCGAATATAAAGTGTAACATTGAATTATGTTCTTCCAGCCATAAAAATGAAAAAAAAAAACTTATTTGGTGAGTATGTGTGAATGGCTTTAAGTGAAAGTTATTACAATAGGCTATTAATTAAACTCTGTAGGAAACAAATGTTCACACCCTTCTTTTTTCCAATGGGGAATAAAAGATCTTTTAAAGAAGCCTGCTCAATTTTAAAAGGAAAATTTTATACACATTGACTTCATTTATGATTTTGTGGGAAGCTTTGGTTTTCCTTAATAAACATACCATTACATATTTGTGAAATGGATTGCAACCCCTGCCTTTTTTTTGTTTTCCATTTGCTTGGTAGATCTTCCTCCATCCTTTTATTTTGAGCCTATGTGTGTCACTGCACGTGAGATGGGTTTCCTGAATACAGCACACTGATGGGTCTTGACTCTTTATCCAATTTGCCAGTCTGTGTCTTTTAATTGGAGCATTTAGTCCATTTACATTTAAAGTTAATATTGTTATGTGTGAATTTGATCCTGTCATTATGATGTTAGCTGGTTATTTTGCTTGTTAGTTGCAGTTTCTTCCTAGCCTCGATGGTCTTTACAATTTGGCATGATTTTGCAGTGGCTGGTACCGGTTGTTCCTTTCCATGTTTAGTGCTTCCTTCAGGAGCTCTTTTAGGGCAGGCCTGGTGGTGACAAAATCTCTCAGCATTTGCTTGTCTGTAAAGGATTTTATTTCTCCTTCACTTATGAAGCTTAGTTTGGCTGGATATGAAATTCTGGGTTGAAAATTCTTTTCTTTAAGAATGTTGAATATTGGCCCCCACTCTCTTCTGGCTTGTAGAGTTTCTGCTGAGAGTTCTGCTGTTAGTCTGATGGGCTTCCCTTTGTGGGTAACCCGACCTTTCTCTCTGGCTGCCCTTAACACTTTTTCCTTCATTTCAAGTTTGGTGAATCTGACAATTATGTGTCTTGGAGTTGCTCTTCTCGAGGAGTATCTTTGTGGCGTTCTCTGTATTTCCTGAATCTGAATGTTGGCCTGCCTTGCTAGATTGGGGAAGTTCTCCTGGATACTATCATGCAGAGTGTTTTCCAACTTGGTTCCATTTTCCCCGTCAATTTCAGGTACACCAATCAGACGTAGATTTGGTCTTTTCACATAGTCCCATATTTCTTGGAGGCTTTGTTCGTTTCTTTTTATTCTTTTTTCTCTAAACTTCCCTTCTCACTTCATTTCATTCATTTCATCTTCCATCACTGATACCCTTTCTTCCAGTTGATCACGTCAGCTCCTGAGGCTTCTGCATTCTTCACATAGTTCTCGAGCCTTGGCTTTCAGCTCCATCAGCTCCTTTAAGCACTTCTCTGTATTGGTTATTCTAGTTATACATTCGTCTAAATTTTTTTCAAAGTTTTTAACTTCTTTGCCTTTGGTTTGAATTTCCTCCTGTAGCTCGGAGTAGTTTGATTGTCTGAAGCCTTCTTCTCTCAACTCGTGAAAGTCATTCTCCGTCCAGCTTTGTTCCGTTGCTGGTGAGGAGCTGCGTTCCTTTGGAGGAGGAGAGGCGCTCTGCTTTTTGGAGTTTCCAGTTTTTCTGCTCTGTTTTTTCCCCATCTTTGTGGTTTTATCTACTTTTGGTCTTTGATGATGGTGATGTACAGATGGGTTTTTGGTGTGGATGTCCTTTCTGTTTGTTAGTTTGCCTTCTAACAGACAGGACCCTCAGCTGCAGGTCTGTTGGAGTTTGCTAGCGGTCCACTCCAGACCCTGTTTGCCTGGGTAACAGCAGCGGTGGCTGCAGAACAGCGGATTTTCGTGAACCGTGAATGCTGCTGTCTGATCGTTCCTCTGGAAGTTCTGTCTCAGAGAAGTACCCAGCCATGTGAGGTGTCAGTCTGCCCCTACTGGGGGGTGCCTCCCAGTTAGGCTGCTCGGGGGTCAGGGGTCAGGGACCCACTTCAGGAGGCAGTCTGCCCGTTCTCAGATCTCCAGCTGCATGCTGGGAGAACCACTGCTCTCTTCAAAGCTGTTAGGCAGGGACATTTAAGTCTGCAGAGGTTACTGCTGTCTTTTTGTTTGTCTGTGCCCTGCCCCCAGAAGTGGAGCCTACAGAGGCAGGCAGGCCTCCTTGAGCTGTGGTGGGCTCCACCCAGTTCCAGCTTCCCAGCTGCTTTGTTTACCTAAGCGAGCCTGGGCAATGGCAGGCGCCCCTCCCCCAGCCTCGCTGCGGCCTTGCAGTTTGATCTCAGACTGCTGTGCTAGCAATCAGCGAGACTCCGTGGGCGTAGGACCCTCCCAGCCAGGTGCGAGATATAATCTCCTGGTGCGCCGTTTTTTAAGCCCGTCGGAAAAGCGCAGTATTAGGGTGGGAGTGACCCGATTTTCCAGGTGCCGTCTGTCACCCCTTTCTTTGACTAGGAAAGGGAACTCCCCGACCCCTTGCGCCTCCCGAGTGAGGCAATGCCTCGCCCTGCTTCGGCTCGCACATGGTGCGGGTGCGCGGCACCCACTGTCTTGCGCCCATTGTCTGGCACTCCCTAGTGAGATGAACCCGGTACCTCAGATGGAAATGCAGAAATCACCCGTCTTCTGCGTCGCTCATGCTGGGAGCTGTAGACCGGAGCTGTTCCTATTTGGCCATCTTGGCTGCCCTCCCATATTTGTGAAATGGAAAACCATCTTCATAGGAGTTTGACCACCTTGACCAGATGCTTTTTCTAATAAAGCTTTGCTATTAATAAATGACTAAAGTAATTTAATTAGCTTTTATATTGAAATTGAACAGTGTACAGAGTAACTTAACTGTTCTTGTTCAACTACACAGACCGTGAACAGCAAATAGAAAGTAAATACTCTATTTGTGTTCTGTTTTTCTTTTTGTTTTTGTTTGAGACAGAGTTTCACTCCTGTTGCCCAGACTGGAGTGTAGCGGTGTGATCTCGGCTCACCCCAGCCTCCGCCTCGCGAATTCAAGAGATTCTCCTGCCTCAGCCTCCTGTGTAGCTGGGATTACTATTCGGGTTTAAAAGCATTTGCAGGTCTGCTTGGTGGATCATTTCTGTAATCCCAAAAGTTTGAGAGCCTGAGGCAAGGGAATCACCTCAGGCCAGAAATTTAAGAACAGCCTGGGTAACATAGTGAGAGCCCATTTCTACAAAAAATCCAAAAAAATAGATGGGTATGGTGTCATGAACCTGTAGTCACAGCTGCTCAAGAGGCAAAGGCAGGAGGATTCTTAAACACAGGAGTTCAAGGTTGCAGTGAGCTATGATCCAGCCACTGAATTCCAGCATGGGAAAGAGTGAGATCCTGTCTCAAAACTAATAAAATAACATTTAAAATAAAATAAAAGCATCTCCTCCTATATATTCTTATGAATAACTTATGGGTGTTTTGTGATACAAGGAAAAAAATCCACTTCAGTAAAGTTGGATGAATTAGACAAATAAAAGATTCTACACAAATCATTAATGTAACTATATACTCAATAATAATTCCTTGGTATTTTAAATACACATAAAGTGTGAATTCTCAGATTGATTTTAATACCATTTTACGTCATCCACCATAATTCTAAATCTCTGTGTACTACTTTTGGAGCCTTAGCACAAAAATATTTTCATTTTATCAGAAAGGAGTTTATAGAAGGGCCTAAATATAAAGATCAGATTAAAACTGCAGCCTTCCAAAGCTACAGTGGTTAAATTCAGATGAAGTAGGTGCAATTACAGCCTGTGTTTCTCAAATGTGGAGACATGGGAGAATTCAAATAAGAACTTCAGAGACCAATTCGGATGTTCTCTGTGGTGGGGGTGGGGTAGGCTGTTGCCATGGTAGCCACACCAGTAAGCTCCCCTGTGCTGGGAAGTGGCTCCTATCTGTCCTGCCCTTGGAGAGTGTGCCAAAACAATTACTAAACATTCAAGGCTTTCTCATTAGAGGGATGGATATTAAAAGCATTAGTCTATCCAGCTCCACAAAGAAATCACTGAAAATCATGTTAAAGTCCCTGAAGAAATATATCTATGTGTTTTTTAAAATGAACACATAACAATTGTAGATTGTGTGAAGTGTTCAGCATGCAAACTCTTCAACAGTTATGTAATGATGGTTGAAGTAAATTTTACCTCATTAGCAAGAAATCAATGTGTTATTACACCATTGCCAAAAAAGTACTAATCCACATTTTTTTCTCACTTTTTACTTTTTCAGCTATGCTGTTTTGTTTCTAATTTTTACCAAAAAAATACACTTTTAAAGTTTCCAATCTGCCATTCTCTCAAAGTGAAGAATGGAGAGATTGATATCTTAGCAAAATGAAAAAGCATAGAAATAAAATAAATAACTGCTTGAAGTAAGAATAAGATGGGAAAAATGTGTACCTTTTTAATGTGACCTACGATTTGCCTTATTAATGTCACATTGATTTTTTGAAAAAAAAGATGGCATTTCAACCATCATCTCAAAACAAGTACAGCAATTTTCAAACTTTTTAGCTTTCAGGAAGCTTCCAAAATAAGAAAAGCCACACTATGCCTCTTCCTAGTGTAATAAACTCATTTCCACCAGTAATACCTTAGAAAAAATTGGAGAACTGTACATTAGTAGAACCACAATGAGATAAGGCTATATTTTTAAACATTTCACAAGGACGTATTAACCAGATGAGTATTAAGAACATTACCCTTCAAAATATGTCACTTTTTCAATAATGATGTTTTAGAGTAAAACACCTGGTCAATTCTTAACTTGTACAACAAATACCATTACTTTCTAATGGTACATATACACACATTCTTATATATTTTAGCCAAAAAAAAAACTGTATTAGTCAGCTTAATCACCTACCTCTATTCATCAAATCTGTCACTAAATGACTTGTGATTATTTCCAAATATAAAATCCACTCTCACAGAAAAAGAAATTGCTGTCATCAAGTATTTTCAAAAGCATATTTACTGTCCCGAAGGACAATTTATAAAGAATTCTTAAAATATATTGAAAAAAGAAAAGCAAAAATGTATGGCTTTTCAAGCCTCCTACTTTGAAAAGGACAATTACTCTTTCGATTATCAATGTAAAGATAATCTAAGCCATGAACCTCACATAACTAAGCTATGAATGTACCTTCATGGACACACACATGCACACACACACAGACACACACACACACACACACGAGCATGAAGAACACTGGTTAAGAGGATTTCTTTAAAAACATACAAAAAGCACAAACCAAGAGGAAGACTGATACATACATGTAACTTCAATAAGGATTAAGTTCCAATGTATGTAAAGCTGTCCCCCCAACAGTAAAAAAGGGAGAGGACAATAACAGACTTTTCATGGAAGAAACACAAATAGTCACAACCTCATTCATACCTAGGGAGATGAAAATTAAGATCACGAGGTACCATTTCCCATCCACCAGATAGGTAAAATTTAAATGTTTGTCAATATAAATTGTCCTGGATATGAGAGACAATCAGAAAACTTAGGCATAAGTTGCAATCAGGTATAATCAGATAAAACCACTTTGGAAAGTAATTTGATATTATTTAACAAATTTGAAGTTTCACATACATTAAGACCCAGGAATTCTACTTCTATCTATATACACTAGAGAAATTACTGAACATGTTTATAAGGATTCACCGTTAACACTGTTTAAACAAGCACAATTTGAGAGAGCAAAATAACAGAAAATTATTCAGGATACCATCAATAGCAGAAAGTATCAATAAATTGGGTTATACAATGGAACATAATATTGAGCAAAAACAAGTGGTAGAAGAATACGTGCAAAATTATTAGATTTATATAAGTAAAAGAATATTCAAAACTAAACACATACATTACATAAGGGAAAGGATTTCCAAGAAGAAATCTTTTGAGGGCTAGGCTCTTATAAGCTAACTTGTAGAGTATTAGTTCACAGATTCACAGACTCAGAGTCTTGGAGTTTGCAGAAGATACAAGAGATATGTTATGGTTCAGCCACAAGGAATCCCTCCTCAACCCACACAAACTTTCTCTAAGCAGATGCGATGTAGTCACTGCTAGAATGCCTCAGGAGATAAGGTTCTTGCCATCACCATCAGGCTGCCCATTTCACTTTTGGTCCATTTTTAATTAGCAAAATGTTGATTCTCAAGTTGATTCAATTTAGACTTCACTATAACCTGCATTTCTTCTTTGGCCATCTAGATTTATGCAGAATGCTTCCCTTTTTTCCTCCATGTGACCATGTTTTCACACTTAAAAACAGTCATCCTTTCTTCCTAAATCTGTCCATGAAATATTATCAATTATTTTAAATACATTTTATGCCTCCTGAACTTGCTCAAGTATATTAAAGTCCTTTCTGAAGCATGGCACCCCAAAATGAACACGATACCCCACATGGCATCTAAATATTTCACATCCCTTCCTTTGCCATTGCCTCAATAACTAAAACATATTTTAATATTCACATTTAGTGCTTCAAGACTCTCCTTATTTGTGATAACCTCTTATAATCAGGTGTTTTGTTTTGTTTTTATATAAGTAGTACACAAGCTTTCTCTTTAACATTAACATTATAAGCTTGGTCCCATAAAGGAATTGCAAGTATAACTTTAAGTACATTTGTATTTCAACGATTCTAAAGATAGCTTTTGGATTAACACGAAAAACTCATAAGGCCAAAAGGCAACATCTGATTGTAAAGAATAAAATGGCCCATTTCTCATGTTAAATTTACTGAGAGCTAATCCATATGAAAATGCATTCAATTCCTTCACACTCTCAGGTAGTGTTCTGAATGCCATCTGACATCGAAAGGCTCATTTTTAATGTTCAATTTTATATAAAATCCCTCTTTGAATGTCAATGTTCATTACATCATTTAATTGTATAAAGACAGTAAAAAATGTTTGGGGAGGGAAAATAGAACTTGTAGTTTGAAGCGGTATAAGTTTACTGTCGACGGTGGCTAGCATGATTCATGTCCACCCTGAATAACAAATAGTGTTGAACATCAGCATAATAGGCAGACCACACTGTATCAACCAACTTACTGGAAAATGAAGCAAATCTTTGTAAGTGAAGTCTCAGTTCAATAACAACAGAAATGAGTCTAGTCTTTTGAGAGTAGATGTGAATAATCACATAACACTTAGAGTTAGTATACAAATGCTCCATTAAAAGAGTCATTTGTGTAATAACTTGAAAGAATTGTTCCTTCTTAAAAAATAAAAATAAAAATGAAACCTGTGAGAAAAACAAAATCAATGCTATTGATTGCAGATAGAAAATAAGGCCTCCAAGGTACATGGTGGAATTTAATTCTAAACCATAAGGACACAGAGGTGGACCAAGAATTAAGCCAAATCATAGCCATTCTTTCAATAAGAAAAAAGGAACTAATAAGAGAAGAGGAATGGATGCCAGATGATCTACAGAGAGGTCAGTATGAAGTTTAATATTCAAAGGATGCAGAGAGGCCTAAGAAGTACTTATAGGAAATATCTTGAATTTTTTTTCTTTTTGAACTATTGCTGTTCAAGTTTTATTTCTTGCAAATAGTCAGATCATTTTTTAATCTCATGGTTTAAAGCTATGCATCTTTTATGGGCTCCTCAAGTTTGAATATACATAATAAACTTGTAACAACAGTACTTCTAATCTGTACTTCAAAAGTTAGCACCGCACATTCCTTAGGCATGGGGACTCCAAGGCTAAGACGTGTATTTCAACATACTGATTGCATAGTCTTGACCAAGTTATTAACTTCTCCAGGCATCAGTTTACCATTTATTAACATGTAGATAACAGAATGCCTACCTCTTAATGTCATTATGAGAATTAAAAATTTAAGACCTAGAAAGTGACTAAACAGTACATGGCATATAATTAACTAACAAAAGTTATTATCATTAACAAACACCTCATGAAAAAAATTGGTAAGTTCTAGTATTCTGTAGGATTGTAGGATGAGTACAGACAATGATAATATATTATGTACTTCCAAAGAGCTACAAGGAGGATATTGAATGTTCCCAACACAAAGAAAATGAAAAATGTTTGAGATGATGGATATGCCAATTACCCTGATATGTTCACTATACATTCTATGTATCAAAACACCACCATGTCTACATGACTACTTACAACTATTGTATATCAATTAAATGAATAAAACAAAACAAGTTAATTTAAATTAAATAAAATTTGAAATGCAAAAATAAAATTTGAAATGCAAAAAAAAAATTGATGATTTCATCGAAAAAGTTTAACTTAAAATAACCAATAGTCAAAGGACACTAAACAGACACTTGCCATTTTAAAAATTAAAATGAAATTTATCTGCTTCCACCATGAAACATCACAAAATATGAACAAAACCAATATCTCTAAGCAAATCAATCATTATAATAGGTATAAATTAGACATTTCCAATACTAGAATATTAGGTAAAATTCACCCCAAATAATGCATCACCAATTATAAATCACTAAGTCAAAGTTTGTTTTATTTTGAATGAATGTAGACTGAAGTTTATCTGTATAATAAAAAAGGAGAACAAGAATATAAGAGTATTAACACATGCTACCTCATAATTAAGGCCAAAGTCTATCTGTTTAAGAAAATAAACTGTATCCAAATATTCTGTAAGACTCACTAAAATATACTAACATAATTAAAACATAAAACGAGCTTTAAGCAATATAATCTACTTACACTACTGCCTTAAAAAGTTAATTCCAAAACAACGTTGATCAAAACTTGAAATCGAAACTTCTACTAGGTAGCACTTTTAAGTATCTGAAAGCAACACAACTCATTTTGCTTGAAAATACATGATAATGTCTGCATACTACACCCAGATGACTTTTCCCCAGTCATCGTAATTAACAAAGTCTTACCATATGAGTATTCTCTTTGTTAAAACCATAAGAACCTCTGGCATTTAGGTATGCAATAACACTTGGAACACTGCCCGGGGTGCAAACAAAAAAAAATATGTAAGGCACATGTTAAGCATTTTATGAAGACCACTTAATTTCACTAAAGAGAGACAGGAAGAATTGGACTGATTTTCCACATAAACTCCCTGGGTCTTTTGCTGAATATCTTGATAGTAAGCAAGCTTGTGGAAGATCCTTTACTGCCTATTCATTCATTATTACCATGGTATACTCTTTATAAATATGAATGTTCACAGATAACAAAGAATCCATCTATAGCAAGAACATTGCTACCTAAATTTTGAGAAGATTGAACTAATGATACAATGAAACATTTCCTCAATTAAAACTTTTTAAAATTTAAATGATCGTTTTTTAAATTTTAAATTATTTTGACATAAGGCTATTAGCACAAGATCTGCTAAAGTTACACTGAGCTGGCTAGAATTACCATTTAGGGAAAGATTGGCATCAGGTTATAAAATTGTAGTCATTTTATTGAGTTTAATTGAAGGCAATCAACAACATTGCAAAAGCTGTGACTCTGAAGGCAGTCAACATCATTGCAAAAGCTGTGACTCTGAATATTGATATATTATTTAGAACCCTGTTTTTAAAAGGATAATTAAGATAACGTGCTGTTTAGTCAATCTAGCAATAAAAGGAAGATAAAGAAAATTTATTAAAATTATCGTGAAGCAATGGGGAAAATATTAGTATACTTACCTGGGGAAGAAATATCACCTATCATGAGTATTTCTTTCTTATTTTGTTACATTCGGGTGTGTGTGTTTGTGTGTGTGTGTGTGCTTGCATCAAATAACTTCGTTTGCTTCCTTCTCTTATCTCCTTATCATGCAGCATAAGATGTATTGACTTTATATCATAGTATTTAAGTATTGTTAACTTCACATCATAGTATTTAAGCTACGGGATATCAATGAGGTGAGTAAACATCACCCAAGAACTTTGTGTCTTCTTTTGGGGAAAGGGTTAGTAAATTTGCAGCTGTACACAGGGTTGTTGAATCATGTTAGGTGGAAGTATGACCTTGTTCTTGTCTTTATTTGAAAATTAAATATGGTTTAAGAAGATATGTATGGGTGCCAAGGTGACAAGGGGTCGATTGACTTGTGATGTTTAATTTTACATGTCAACTTGGATAGGTCACAATACCAGAAAGCTGCTCAAAAATTATTCTACTGTAGACGTTTTGGTGAAGATATTTTAGTAACACCTAAACGAATAGACATTGAGTAAAGCTGATTACCCTCCAATAATGTGGGCGAGCCTCATCCAGTCAGTCAAATAGAAAAAAGTCCCATCTTTCCCCTAGAAAGAGGAAATTCTGTCAGCAGACGGCTTTCAGACTCGAATTGCAGCATCTCTGATCAATGGGCCTTACCCTGTAGATTTTGGACTTGCCAGCCTCCACAATCACATAAACAAATTCCTTAAAATAAATCTCCTTCTCACTGTATATAGACACACACATCCTATTTGTCCTGCTTTTCTGGAGAGTCCTGACTAATACATAGCCCCATAGTTAACAGTTTGAGCTCTGAATCCAAATAGCCTGGGTATAAACCCTGACTCTACTATAAACTAGTTGGGAGACCTGGGCAAATTACTTAACCACATTAAGCTTCAGTCTCCTCATCTACAAAATGGAATAATAAATATTAGCCTTTACCTCACAGTATTGTTTGAGGTTTAAATAAATTTTATATGTAAACAATATTTAGAAAAAGCATGTTCTATGTGTTGGGCATTTTCTAAACATTAACAAATATTAACTATTATTCCCAAGCTTCTTCCAATATAGCTAGAAGACTTTCAGTTAGGCTTAGTAAGAAGGGACAACATGAATAAATTTTAGAAATAATGTCCATGGTTGTTTGGAAATCTACTTTTGTAAGAAATATTTAAGATGAAGGAACATTGAATCCACAGGTGTTCAAAATTGTGGTTTCTTGAATGAAACAGCAATAATTAGCACTGGAAAACAGATGAAGTAAAAGTATACTTTCCTTTATACAATAGCTGTTTTATTAAAAGGTGCTGACCAATATAATATCTGAAAAATAATATCATATGAAGCTATTGATATAATCTCAGAAGTGCTTTAAACGTGGTTTCTAATTGTTAGTAGTTCTTAAGATATTGCCTCTATCTTTATATTCTATACTTGACCTCTATATATTTTTGCCACTTTTCCATCCTTTCTGCTCACTATCCACATATAGCCTTGTCCTATAATTTCATCTCTTTTCTTTGCAATTCTCTGCCAAGTGTACATTATGTGTATTTTTGTTTATTGTGTTTTGTCACCAGAAGAAAGTCTAAATGAATATTTATATTTTTTGGCCTGGGAAGAATTTTATATTGTTGACATAGAAGGTGAAAACTATAAGGGAAAAAAATGATAGAAATTACTACTTAAAAACTGAATGCCTAACATATATCCAAAAAGATGACAAAGAATAAATAAAAGGTGCATGCTGAATGAAGAAAGAATATTTCTTATATACTGTCAAGATTTTAATAGAAATAATACTTATTATTATGTTGTGGTGTTCTATACTTTACATTAAACATTATACAAATTATCTCATTTTATACCAATCGTGTAAAGAAGGCAGAATGCAGGATTTTTCATACGTTGGCTCTAATGACATTTTGGGCCAGATAAATCTTTGTTCTGGGCAGCTACCCTTTTGAGCAGTATGCCTGGCCTTTACCCACTAGAAGTCAGCAGTCCCCCCAACATCACCCCCTTTGTGACAACCAAAAATGTCTCCAGATATCACCAAATGTCCCCTGGGAGACAGAATCATCATCAGTTGAAAACCACTGGCAGAAAGAAAGAATATCTTCTTTTTTTACAAATTGGTTAGGTGAAACAGAGAAATTAAGTGACTTGCCCAAATACACCACTTCTCTGAATGACCTGTAAGTTTGATAATTATAGGACACTATCACACAAATGTTTTGGATAAAACATTAATCACCACCTAAGAAACTGGTTTTCATGTGTCACCATCTTACATTATAGGTATTTCTGCACTCACTTTCTTCCAAGCTGATTCAGTCATTATCTCAAGCTACTTTCTTCCCACAAAAGAAAAGCATGTCAGTATAGATTTCAGGTCAGAAAGAAGTATTATGAAAAATTAGCTAGGCATAAAACATATTACACAGTGCGTGCCTCAGTTTTTTTCAAAACACTTTCTATATTAGTCTTTACAGGATGTATGAAACAAGCTATCATTCCTATTAATTAGGCAGGTAATATTCCATTCAACCTTTATTGTCTGCCTCTGTCATACACATGAAAAACATTTTCTTTTTACAGAAGCTTCATAGCAGGAAAACTAGTCACATATTAAAAGTTAAGGGGAGAGTTGAAGATGCTTAAATTATCGGCCAAAAATACTTCCAGTGATCTTGAGCTTCTGCTGAAGCTTTGTATGTTTGCTCAGTGACCTGACTGCATGAAGAATATTCAGTGTAATAAACTATATTTCTTTTTTCACATTTTTAACTTTTCCATGTCTGAAAAAATACTGGATTCTCATATTAATACTCTAAATACAAACACTTCCCATAATTAGTTAACCACTTTATCTAAGTAGTGTTTCAACTCTTCTCAAACTAATTTCTCAATAAAAGAAGGAAAAATGGAATTTTCCATGTAATGCATTGCCATCTGTGTGCAGCTGATAAGATGAAAAAAGAATATTTGAATGTCAGAGGATTGGAGTTACAAACCGTACCTTCCATGACATACACCAGTGACCCCACGTCTCCTTCTTTGATGATGCAACTGTCCTTGCCATACTCCACCGGGTACATACAATCCACAATCTCCTGGATCTGCGACAGCTCCAAGTTCTTCATAAAGTCATTGTCAAGGATAGCTTCCTTTATAAGATCCTTGGACCTATGGCAAGAGAGGGAAGATTTACTGGCACATCTGACAAGCTCTTTCATAGTTTGTGAGGTTTAGCAGCGCCATAGAGTGCTCTGGCACACCACAAATGTATTTTCTTGTTAGGAATCCAATAATTTTCTGGAAGACTGGAGAACAAAGTATGTCCATGGCAGCAAAACAAAAAAAAAAAAAAAAAGGCACTAAGAATTTTTTTTAAGTATTCTATCATTTAATGAATAAGTGACCTACCAACCAACCAACCAACAAAATCATACAAGTCCATTTTGCTTTAGACTTTTTCTTAATCACAAAGATTGCTAGAAAACCAATGGATACATACTTTAAAGTTTGTAATTTAGTTTAAGAATAAACATGAATAAAATTTCAACATTCCAGAACAAATACTATTACTACTGTTTATATTTATAAAAGAATATCAGGGATGTATTGTACTATACACAATTATAGAAAAAAATGTTTACTTATTTTTTATGTGCCTCTTCTGCTAGACTTAATGCTCCACATAAGCAGGGATCATTTTAAATTTGTTCTTTATTTTATGCCCAGTGTCTACTAAGATGCCAGTCATCTATAAATAGTATTTAAAAAAATACCAACCTAACAGCTTTATGTGTGAAGACTGGTGAATATAATGTTACCTTCAGTAAATGGTGGGAGATAATACTGCTCAAGTAATATTTTGGATTAAAAAAGAATTGGATTCCTACTTAGCTATTTGAAACAACTGGTAGAAATGCAACAGTTCTTTACACATGTCCCATGCTTTTTAGAGAATATTTCTTTCTTCAAGCAGCTTAGACTGAGGTAACCAGGCAGATACAACTCTATTGAACAAGATGTTTGAAGTGCAACATGTTTTAGGTATGGGATTCAATACAGGTAGTCAGTAGGAAACATATTCATAAATTTTGTAATTGGAATTCAGTGGTTAACGAGAAAGTTTTAGCAGAACTTAAAACATTGGGATATTTATTTGCTGGGATAAGAAGTTCCAAATGACTTTCTAAGAATGCAAAATCAAAGTGGAAGAAATATTAAGAAATATTTTATCAGGAGGAGGACAATCAGAGCACTATCAGAGAAGTCAGAAGCCACATAAGATGAAAGCAAAGAACTTAGCAATCCAGAGAGGAGGCAGCACATTTGGAATGTCATATTAAAAGTCTTAATTTTTAAAAAATTAAATACAAGCTGACCTTAGTCCTCATTTCCTTAGCAAGTGGCTTCCAGGGGAGTGACCTGCGGTAGTGAACACTGACTAAAGCGTTAGTCTTCCCTCCCCATTTCTGGGAGGCTTTTCATCCAGACCTCAGTCTAACCAGCCTAGCCTTCACCATTATGTTTTGTAATAATTCAGTTTTAAGTAGTGCAAAGATACACATAAAAATAAAAACAATTGAAATTTCATTACTATGAAGAATAATCCTAGAGTGGAACGTTATGCTGCCATTAAAATTTTGTTTATGAGGAGTGTTAATGGCATGGAGGAAATTCTTCTATTATTTTTAAGTGAAAATGCAGGATACAAAATTGATTTTAGAGTAAGAATGTATGTGCCTACTAAAATGTTAAAAAAAAAAAACAAAAACAAAAACATAGGTTTTGAAGAGACATATATTTGGGTTTCAATCCTAGCCCTGACACCTCAAAAATTTTGAGTGGGTTGTCTTACTTTTCTGAATTTCCATGTTATCATCTACAAAATGATATTTTAAAAATATCAGCTGAATAGGTTTATATGTGAAGACCGAGGAATAAAATGTTACTTTCAGTAAATGGTAGGGGATAAAGGTTGTAGCAGTATTAATTGCAGTATTATCTTCACCCCTCCTTATAATTACCTTCACCACTCCTGGTCTCAAGAATAGCAGTGGCACCTTCATATTGACTCCTGAGATCTACTATTCTGGGATTAATTTTCCAAGAATCTAGGCTTATTTGGCATTCAGAAAATTAATCTTGGTCAAATTGCATTACGTTTTCTCTTTCCTAAAAATTTCTTTTCTTTTTTTTTTTTTTTTGTCAGAGAGTGAGGCCATTTGATGGGTTCATAGTTTCTTGTACAATAAAAACTAATCAAGAACCACAACTTGTTCAGCTACATACAGATGACACATTATCCTTTAGGAAGTATTAATAGTACCCTATAAAGATTTAAGTCCTAGAAATTCAGCAAGATTAAAAATGAAGCCCTCTTCCAAGAACATAATTATAATTAGCGCCATCCAAACATGATTGAAGTCGCTTTCTCCCCTCTCATAAATAAGATTATTAATCTGTTTGATGAAGATATTGCAAAAGATTAAACAATGAGCCCTAACACAATTCCTTAGAATTATCCAAACTTTCCAACTGTTTATCACTGAATGTAGAGTGTGGGATGGGAAGGACGGGATTTCAGGATGTTTTTGTTTCTCAAATTTTATTTTGGATGGAGGACATTTAATTTCAGGTCTCTGAAGAAACAAACTGGAGGCTTCCATATAGGCTGTTGTGTCACTTCAAAAGAAACTAATCAATATAGGACCACATCTTACTATTTATACCTTCATACAGATATTGCCAAATAGCATTATTTCTGAATTGTCACAATTTGTCTCTGCTCTCGCAGCAAGATAGATACCTTGTGCCTCTGTGTAGTACAACCCCAAAGATGGTCTTGTCAGAGAATAATACTCAAAGCCCTGCCTTTTCATGTAATTTTCCTTTAAGTCCTTTCCTATTGAGGACTGAAAACCTTAGGTCAACTCTCATTAGTCTTTACTTTCTCCAACATTATAGACTATAATTAATCAGGGCCTCCATCTAATTCTTCTTTGAATCCCTTTCTTTCCCCAAAGAAATGGTCTAAGACACTCACTGTAACTAAGATATAATGCATATAAAATCAGTGAGTTGAGTTGTGTTATTAGTATGGGAGTTGGGGAAAGCCGATATCACAAGTACCAGAAGGTAGCCATCTGCTCAACCCAGAGTATATATTTTAACAATATTTTGAAATAATTCAGCAGCCTGACTTGGGAGGTATAAGAAGCAACCACAAAGATCATGATTTTTTTTAATCTTTACTATCTGCCTTTGTGTACAAATTATTTATTTTTAAAAATCTTTTTCTTTCATGCCCAAAATGTGTGGCTTTTTAAATCTAAACACCCATAAAAGCGACTTGACTCATTTGAGCTATCCCTATTCCTTTGTCATCATTGAATTGTCAGCCTCTGAAATATTAGCTATATATAATGATATGCTGGTATTCTGGCTGTCTGGCTTGGGTGGAGAAAAGCGGAGGAAGCCATGGTGTGTAGCGTTTGCCAATTTCCATGGTGTAAATACTCCCACCATGGCCAATTTCAAGCTTTCATGCAAAATCAACCTGTTTGCAAAGTTCCTGGAAATTAACAAGCAGATCTTACATGAGCCAGTGCAAGTTGGCTCCAGCACAATACTGGATATAGAGTATTTTTCTAACACCCTAAGAATTTAGTGTAACTTAATTTATAAATTCTGAAACCAACATGATAATCCTTTCTTTCCTTAAAAATTTCATGAGGTGGTATAATATCCCCAGATAATTTAATGCCAGGATTAGCAATAGTTCTTTCAAATGTTCAATTTTAGAAAAATAAATTGGAAAATCCATTTCCCCATTTACTTATTACAGAGAAAATTTCTGAATGTAAAGAAAAAATACTTGACAGAAATTATCTTTCTACACAATCTTAGGTAAAAATGGGCAATTTTAGAGTATAGGAAAACATATACCTACTTCTCAAATAAGGGAGCCAGCACTATTCACTGTTAATAAATAGGCCCCCATTAGTTTTTCTTAAGCTAATAAAAGGATATTCTACATTATGGTTACCATACAGTAGGCTAGCAATATGTAAATAACAGTAGGGTTATTTCAAGGTGTAGGGAAGGCTAGTTCAGATTAAGTGGTCAGGAAGGCCTCTCTGAAATAAAGATTATATGACAATGAGATCCAACCATTGTCTTCTCTATTGCAGTGATGACGAGGAAAAGCATTCTAAGTAGAAGTAAAAACAAGGACAAAGGTGTAGAGTTTGGAATGACCTTGATATATTCAAGGATCAGAAAGGAGACCTGTATGGTTGAAGCATACAGTGAGAAAGAAGGAATGGGATGGGAGAATAAGATCACTGAGGTAGGCAGGGGATGGGTTTCATAGGACCTTGAAGACTACAATAAAGAGTTTTATTCCAAACACCAGTGAAGGACTATAAAAAGGGGTATGATTTATAGACAATATAACAGACATAAAGAATAAATGATATAAATTTACTTTAAAATGTTACTAAATTTGTGGAGGTTTTCTGTTGTGGATTTCATCAATTAATGAATACTGAAAGCAAAATTGATTATCATGTTAATAAGGGAGTTTTATAATTGAAACTCTTGGGAACCACTGTCTCATAAAGCTTACATTTATTTGGAATTTAAATCACTTACTCTCAGGCAACTCTTACATATTAGGAGAGAATTAGGTCTCATCTCAATTTCAAGAACTATCTCCAGAGGCCTGAAGTGTGCCCACTCTCTACTTTCACTCATGTTTTAGATCAGTTTCGCCCTCAGTCAGGTCACAGGCAATAGTAAACATGCCAAGAACAGCCTTGCCCAGAAATGTGAGCATTAACATCTGATCTCTTTGATTAAAAAAGACTTCCAGGCACTTTAAAAGACATAGTCAAAGCTATTAAGTTATTGCTAAGAATGGAAATCAGCGAAAGCAATCTGAAAATGTAGCACAAATCTTCTATAATAAAAATTTTTAACCAAAAACATCACTCACTAATTTTCTTTTGCACTGAATGGTCAACTTTGGGATCAAATGTCAGGGGAAGCAATAAATGATTTTCACAGTCACCTTGGCCTACAGTATTGTCTATCCATTTGGGAACTCAGACATCCAAGTCTTCATTGAGGACATGACAGTCCACAGCTCTTTCACACAGACATACTCCTTGCAGAGCCTCTTAAAAGTTTCTAATTCCGAGTTATTTTCAAAGGACAACTCCATCCATCTATTGTGAAATATTTGATTAATACCTATAAGAAAGAAAATTGGTAGTCCTGTTGCTGCCACAATTGTTAAGATTCTGCCCAAACCATGGATCCTATTTCTTGCCTAACAACTTTTCTGAATGAACTCCACAGATATAAGCTGGCTAAGAGCTAAGAACTACCAACCAGCCCACATAAAGATAAAATTTAATCCTGCAAAGTTATTGGCCAATTTAGATATTCCCTCAAAACCACAAACCAGTTTTCAACAAGGTTCACACTGTATTTTCACATCAACCAACTCTGCTATAGCTATCCCAATCTTATGACAAAAATAGTCATGAGGAAATTAAAACTGTTTGCCAAATTCAGACCTATAATTAGCATTTGATACAAAACAAAGGAATCACTGGCCAAAATTAATGTTAGCGACATAGTTATTTGGTGAACAATAATATTTATCTTTTATTACATACATTGTAATATTTACCAATTGTCAATTGCCTTCTAACTTTTTTCCTGCAGTTCTAAAATAGATTATTTAGTTCCTTTGAATTAAATCATGAAATCATGAGGAAATATTAATAGTCTAAAAACAATGATGTGGAAAGGGAAGATAGCCCATAAAATATTTATTTGCCCAAATGTCATTCAGATGGTAACTTAATTTTCCTTCGTTTTTTTTTTCCTTTTACTTTTAGTTGACATGTAGTAACGGTACATATTTATGGGATACAGAGTGATATTTTCATACATGTACATAATGTGTAATGATCAAGTCAGGGTAATTATCATATCCATCACGTTAAACATTTGTTATTTCTTTGTGTTGGAAATATTTAAAATTCTTTTAGCTTTTTGAAAATATGCCATAAATTATTGTTAACTATATTCATCCTTCAGTGCTATAGAACACTGGAACTTATTCCTCTTATGTAGCTATAATTTTTTATCCATTAACCAACCCTTCAGTATCTTTCCCTCATCCCTACTCTTTGCAGCCTCTAATAACTATAATCCTGCTCTTTACTTTTATGCATTCAATCTACATATTAGTGAGAACATGCAGTATTTATATTTCTGTGACTGACCGATTTCACTTAACACAATGTCCTCCAGGTTCATCTATGTTGCTACAAATGACAGGATTTCATTCTTTTTTATGGCTAAATAGTATTCTGTTGGGTATATGTACCACATTTCCTTATCTGTTCATCTGTTGATGGACATTTAGATTGATTCCGTATCTTGGCTATTGTGACTAGTGCTGCAATAAATATGGGAGTACAGATATCTCTTTGATATACTGATTTTCTTTCCTTTGAATAAATACCCAGCAGGATTTCTAGAAACTAGATCTCTAAATCTTACCATATACAAAACATCAACTCAAAATGGATTAAAGACCTAAATGTAAGACCCCAAACTATAAAACTACTAGAAGAAAAAGGAGGGGAATTGCTTCAGGACATCGAGTCTAGGCAAAGGTCTTAAGAATAAGACCTCAAAAGCATAGACAACAAAAATACACAAATGGGACTATGTCAAAAAATAAATAAAAAGCTTCTTCATAGCAAAGGAAATGATCAGCAGAGTGAAGAAGCAACCTGAAGAATGGGAGTAAATATTTGCAAGCTTCAAGCGAAGGACAAATGTTCAGAAAATACAAGGAACTTAAAATAATAATAATAATAATAATAATTTGATTAAAACATGGGCATGTGATCTGAATAAACATATCTCAAAAGAAGACATACAAATGGCCAAGTATATGAAAAAATGCTCAACATCATTAATCATTAGGGAAATGCAAATCAAAACTATAATGAGCCATCATCTTAAACCAGTTAAAATGACTATTATCAAAAAGACAAAAAATAACAAAATGCTAGAGAGGATGCAGAGAAAAGGGACTACATTTTTTTCTTTTTTTTTTTTGAGACAGAGTCTTGTTCTGTCACCCAGGCTGGAGTGCAGTGGTGTGATCTGGACTCACTGCAAGCTCCGCCTCCCGGGTTCATGCCATTCTCCTGCCTCAGCCTCCAAAGTAGCTGGGGCTGCAGGCACCTGCCACCATGCCTGGCTGTTTTTTTTGTTTGTTTGTTTGTTTTTTCGTATTTTTAGTAGAAACGGGGTTTCACCATGTTAGCCAGGATGGTCTCGATCTCCTGACCTTGTGATCCACCCGCCTCAGCCTCCCAAAGTTTACACTGTAGGTGAGAATGTAAATTAGTATAGCCAGGGAAAACAGTATGGAGTTTTCTCTAAAACTAAAAATACAGCTAGTATTCTCCATTTTAACTAATACTCTCACCTCATTGTCATTGACTAGGAGCAATGCTAAGTAGCTCTTGAAATCACTAGTTAGATGTTAACAGATGGGGCAGGCTTATATTAATTGAGGAAAAAGAAAATTGTTGTTCTTTTAGGTGTTCATCCACTTCCAAAACGTCAATATTAAAAGTCTCCCATTCAACTATTCAAGTCATTCAGCTCTCTAGAGATGCATTTTACGCGTGAGCCTAACTAAAAATAGAGCAGTTTCCAAAAGAATCCAGATCAAGCTCTTCTCCTGTAAGCTTCCTCTCTCATATCATGGAATTAAAACCGTGAAGTTTCACAGAACTAACGTAAAGTGCCTTGCCTGAGAATAAATAAGACCGTACGCATTTCATTACATAATTTAAGAACTATGTGGCCTGATCTATTAAGAACTAACTCTATTTCTGAAGTTTAGATGCCCAAACAGCAAAACAGGGTAATAACTGAGAAAAAAAATGTCAGATATTTATATGTCTAATTGCAATTCAATGTTTTAAAGTATTTTTTTCTTACCTTTCAAGGCACTAAATAATTGAAATTTCTCAGAACTCATTTGTTTCCAACAAGGTCAGCATGAATACACTATAAACAAGTTCCTCACCACCCTGGGCAACCCTATCATCAGGGCATACATTGAGTGCCATGATGTTACTGTTAGTCCTTTGAAACCCAGCAACTCACACCACCACTATGTGTTACATGTTGTAATTTCAATTACTGCAATGACTTGATTTTCAAATTGATCATTAAAGAAATCATTTTAGAATAATTCTGTTAAGATGCTTGTTGACTTAATCTCTGAGACAGATTACCTTATATTTTAAATTTTAAACTAAAAATACAGCTAGTAAAAATACAGTTTGTATTCAATGGCAGAAATACAGCATGATTCTCTATCACCCCCTTATCCCAAAGTGTACACTTTCTCTTGACTGATAATGGTGACTTGGCTACTTTACTCAATTCACTTAATTCCAGAAAATTGGAGCCAAATTTCGCTTCATTACAATGTCCTACATGTCTCACAAGGCAGATTTTCTACTCTGACATACTCAGTTCAGTTTTACCTCCAACCATTGTTTTGCGTAAGGCTTTAATACATTAGACATTTACAGTCTGCCTTAAGTGAGATGGTGTTTATATTAATTTTGAAAATAACTAAAAGTTTAAAACAAACAATCATGCTCCTAGTCATAAAAGCTCTGTGGTTACCAAGCTTCTTAACCAAAGTGAAAAATTAACCCAATACTGACAATAACATTAGTCATTATTATAGTAGTAGTATTACTACTATTAATATTTATTATTACCACTATTCATAATTATTAAGTAGTTATTCTGTGTTCCACAATGTACAAAGAGCCTTCCCTCATTTAAGATTCATTTTTGACTCTCTAAGTTTGCCATAGTAGAACTCAGAGAATTACATAAATTGTCCAATGTTGCACAATAGTAAGTGACAGGTAGAGTCAGGATTTAAAGATAAATCTGTTTGACTTCTAAGCCCACAATATTTAATTTCACTGACAATTTGAATAAATTATTCCACTTATAAAAATCCAAAAGCAAATGTTCCACTCATTTATCTCTAATTTTTCAAAGGTAGGAATGTTACACTTTTGCAGAAGAATGAAATTAGACCCTTATCTCTCATCATAAACAAAAATCAACTCAAAATGGATTAAAGACTTAAATGCAAGACCAAAAACTATGAAGCTACTAGAGGAAAACATAGGGGAAATATTTCATGACACTGATCCAGGCAAGGATTTTTTGGATAAAACCTCAAAATCGCAGGCAGCAAAAACAAAAATAGACAAATATGATTACATCAAAAAAAGCCTCTTTACAGTTAAGGAAACAATCAAAAGAATGAAGACACAACCTATAGAATGGAAGAAATATTTGCCTCCTATACACATGACCAGGGTTTAATACCCAAAATAAATAAGAAACTCAAATAACTCAGTAGCAAAAAAAACCCAAATAACCCAATTTAGAAATGGGCAAAAGAATTTAATAAACACTTCTCAACAAAATAAAATAAACATGGCCAATGAGTACATAAAAAATGCTCAGTGTCACGCATCTTCAGGAAAATGCAAATCAAAACCATGAGATCTAACCTTACACCTGTTAGAATGGCTATTATCAAAAAGACAAAAGATAACAAGTGTTGACATGGTATGGAGAAAAGGGAATCCTTACACACTGTTGGTGAGAATATAAATTACTATAGCCATTACGGAAAATAGTATGAAGATTCCTCAAAAAATTAAAAATAGAACTACCATGTTATCCCACTACTGGGTATATACCCAAAGTAAACTAAATTAGTATTTTGAAAACATATCTGCACCTCATGTTTATTGCAGCACTATTTGCAATAGCCAAGCTATGGAATCAACCTAAGTGTCCATCAATGCATGAATGAATAAAGAAAATGTGTTATACAGACACAATGGAATATTACTCAACCATAAAAAATAATTAATTTCTGCCATTTACAACAACATGGTTGAACCTAGAGGATATTATATTAAGTGAAACAAGCCAAGCACAAAAAGATGAATACCACACGATCTCACTCATATGTGGAATCTTAAAAAGTTGATCTCATAGAACTAGGGAGGAGGAGGGTTGTTACCAAAGGCTGGGATAGTTAGGGGGGAAAAGGTGTTAGGAGATGTTGGTCACAGTTTACATAATTACAGTTTAATAGGGAGAATAAATTTCAAGAGACCTACTGTACAGCAAGGCAACTGTAGTTAATGTCATATTGTATTCTTGAAACATGTAAGGACAATGGATGTTGTATTCTCACCATAAAAATGATAACTATGTAAAGTAATGCACTTGTTAATTAGGTAGATTTAACCATTGTAAATGCATATATATTTCAAAACATCATATTGTACATGATAAAAGCATATGATGTTATCTGTCAATTAAAAAATTTTAGAAGAATGTTATGCTTGGATAATATGACTTTTATCTACATAGAGCATTTCATGTTTTCAAAACATTTCCATATCTAACGTTTCATTGTATTATTGCCACAGACCTATGCAGTAGGTAGAACCTTATTTGTCCTTATTTGACAGGTAAGGAAACAAAAGTATAAAGAGGTTAGATGCCTGCCAAGTTCATATGAGAGATTAAAGTAGGACTCAGGTCCACTGACTATCAGCCTGCAATAAAACACTTTTTAAACCTTCTTTTATTTGAAACACATTCATATTCATTCATTCATAATCTCTGTCTCTCTCTCTCTCTCTATGTCTGTGTCTCTCTCTGTCTGGATCTTCCTATCTCTCTTTTTCTCACTGTTTCTTCTCTCTTTTTCTGTCTCTTTCTCATATCTTTGGCCATTTTAACGTTTAAACTCACCTGAATAAAGAGTCAACAAATCCACTGCAATAGTTATCAGCAGGGAATTGTGGCCATTTCACAATAATTCTATAGTTCAAAATTCTGTCATAGTTCATTCATAGATCCCCTTTCTGATCTAGTTCATTCTCTACATTACAGAAGTTTGAGCATGCTTTATGGGTTTTACAGAAGGATAATCTCAATACAGAAACACGTCTTGAATTCAGCAATGGATTCAACTTATTTTGATTCCAGCATGTTCACATTTGTTTTCTCTTATCTGACTTGAGCACACATCTTTCTTTCTCCTTTTCTCTCCTTTTATTCCTACATACCTTGCCTCAGATGACTTCAATATGTACATATGGAGGAGAAATGAAGTACACAAAATTTGTTATCAATTTGGATGGAGATCTGTATTTGAATTTCAAATAAAAAGGAAGCTCCCATTAAAAGATAAAATATAAAATTCCAAAAAACTGCAAAATGGCAGATTTCGTAATTAATGTAACTAATGACCTATAATATTTCAGAGAAATTATAATATTTCAGAGAAGTCTGAATATAAGATACCAAACATTAATGCTTTCCATATAAGTACTTTACAGTAGAAATGTAATATGTACAATTTGTAACCTTAAAGCATGTTAGTATAAGGGTTCATACACTATAATCTGAGTTAGCTACCTTAAGATTTTCACGGCATGAGACAGAGGGGGTAGGAAGAAAGGAAGGTTGAGAAAAAAGAAGATAAATCAATGTGATTTTATAACTTGAATCCACTATTTATCATGTACCATATGTCCTTTAAAACTTTGTCCCTTTCAGTAGTAAATAGTTAATATTTATTATATTTCCAACACAACAATTCTAGCTTCAAAATCAGCCACTGCAGGTAAATGCAGGCAATAGTGATTGACGGTTTTAAAACACAACTATAATTATCCACAAAGTGATTTAAAGAGTGACCTAGAGTTGCTACTGACATAAGTATAGTATTTATGGAAGTAAGTGTTATCCACAATCTGGAAAAACACCCCTAAAAATGTATCCTTTGTGAAAATAAGGTCACAACAATCACTGACAGGAGGACAAAAAGAAACAGAGAAGCAATAAAGAAGTTTAGGCAGGCCGTGAAGCCAAGGAGGTTGAGTACAAAAAGTAAATGCAAAAGACATGGGATTCAGAGCACAGTGTATGCTTGAACTGCAGTTAACTAGGCAGGCACATGATGTAACTCTGTGTGAAGGCCTCCAGCTAGTTAAAGGTGGATGCTGAGGTCTTTTTCAGGCTGAGATTCCAGAAATCAGGGACAGGGTATAGAGGGATGAGTGTTGGTCCCCGAGGTTGTGGGACACTGAGCAAAACTGTGGTCTAGAGAGAAACAGTTTAAAGAATTAATCCAAAGGGAGTTCAAGCATACAAATGAAAACTAAGCCCAAGATATAGGCTCTTCAACCTGAGGCAGCTGGATGGAACAAAAGAATTCAGAGGGCAGACAGAAGGCAGCAATTCCAGAATGTTTCTGGCGCAGCAGTTCTCAGGACTTCAGGGGACTCTTTCATGCAGTGGTTGGGTTATGACCTACCCACAGGTAGGAATATGCTATTAGAGGTGCAAGAATTGCTGGACACACACTCTGCACACAGCCCTGCCACAGTCTCTAGGGTTCTTGGTCATTTCCCAGAATAAACAAAGAGAATGGAGAGAGGGATATGAAAAGGGGAGGTAGTCTATGAGGACACTCACTTTTCTTGGCCACACAGTCTAGTACAAGGAGGAGAGCTACACAGAAGACAGCCTTTTGAGTATACGATATTTTCATTTTAGGCATTTTTGCACATGTTATCTCACCTAATCCTCCCAATGGAAACTTAGAAACAAATCAGTCATGTTAGTTAAAATAATGGTTATGCAACATTTAACTTCCACCCCAGACCCCCTCTTAACAACCACGCTGGTCCAGGTGTGTCAGTTTGCCTTTACACAGTAGTCTGCTCAGCCTGATCCTTACACTGTTGATTCATTTATTCATTCAACAAGCATTTTTTGAGTACCTCATATATGACATTGTGCTAGGGATTAGGGGTAAGGGGGTAAGTGAAATAAACAGTATCTGTGTTCTCAGCTAAAATTTTAGTAGTACCTCTTGTTAATACAGAGGTAAACAAACAAATATATCGTTAAGACAGAGAAAGTGTTTTAAAGGTCACAGAAAGGGTGCTGAATACAGAATAAAGGGGAAGATCTACTTAGCATGTAAAATGAAGACCTGTTTGACAATGCAGCATTTAGGCTGAGACTCAAGGATCAGTGAGCCACCCCATAGGAAATCTAAAGGAAAGGTGCTCAAAGCAGAAGGAACAGAATATTTTCTGGCTCTAGTTTGGAGAAGGAAGCTGGTGAGCCAGATCCTTTAGATCAAGAGAAAGAATAGCTACAGGTCAATTTCGAGACATAAGCAGAGTCTGTTTTAGACATGGTCTTGCAGATGGTGAGAAAGAATTGAATTCTTAGTGAAATGAAAAGCTGTTAAAGGGGTAAAGCAAAGATAATGAGTGACATGGTATAATCTATATTGTAAAAAACATCTCTAGAATTTCAGTGAATAAACTGGAGCAATTCCAGGTGGAAGGAGAGGAGAAGGAAAACTCAGAAAGGATGCTATTGCACTATTTTCAAGTAAAACATAAGGATGGCCTAGATTAGGATGGTGACAGCAGAGAGGAATAGAAGTGAGACTAACTTGAAAGTATATTTTGCAAGTGGGCGCTATAGGACTTACTGGTAGAATGAATGTAAGGATGGGGAAAAGGAAACAACCCCAGGTTTCCAGCTTGAGCAACTGAATAGACATTGGTTGTTTAGACTTAGACAAGTAACTGGTTCTTAAAGACCAAATAAACCTAGAGGTGGGGTCAAGAGAGAGGTCCCACAAAGGAGACTGAGAAATAGCAGAGACACAAAAAGACAACCAGGGCAGTGGACATCAGGGTGGTGGTGAGAGGGAAGCATTTCAAGGAGAAGGAATGGCTCATCCTTTGGATTCCTGCCAGAACCATATTTTCTACTATGATTACTTTTAAATCATTGGCTATTCTATCTGTGAGGTCATCCAATGATTTGTTAGAAATGAATATTGTGCTTCAGTCTAGCAATAATAAACACTGCTCTCCACTGTGCTAGTTTTTAAAAATCATTTAAAAATGCGTTTATCATGGTCTTATTTCTCAGATTACTTTAAGCATAAGGGTATCACAGCAACTGAAACTTGCTAGAAAGCAGACTTACCCAGAAAGAAAGCTAGAAAGACTTACTGCTATGCTCTTCATTTAAAAAACTATACACAAACACACACATACCACACTAAGTAGATAAATACTAAAGTCTACAACGCTTACTGTGGTAAGTTTACACGGAGAGTAGGTCTCATCACCTGTTCAAAAAATGTGGCCGGGCGGAGTGGCTCATGCCTGTAATCCCAGCACTTTGGAGGCTGAGGAGCACTGATCAACGGGGTCAGGAGATCAAGACCATCCTGGCCAACATGGTGAAACCCCGTCTCTACTAAAAATGTAAAAAATTAGCCGGGCATGGTGGCGCATGCCTGTAATCCCAGCTACTCGGGAGGCTGAGGCAGGGGAATCGTTTGAACCTGGGAGGCAGAGGTTGCAGTGAGCCGAGATCATGCCACTGTACTCCAGCCTGGTGACAGAGTAAGACTCTGTCTCAAAAAAAAAAAAAAAAAAAAAAAAAACAAAACTCAATGTCCAAAAAGACTGGATTCCTCCTCATTTATCAAAGCAAAATAGCAATCAACCTGAACTAAATCAAAATTAGACTGCCATATTTGTAGTAAGAAGAATTCACTAATATTGAGGAAATATACTTGTTAGCAACCTAACAGGATAATCCATGCAAGAAATTTATTGAATAGATTTGATTCTCATACCAAGTTAGTGCAGACAAAAAACCACTTTGCAGAAAGGCAGGCAATAGTGAACGTGAAAGAGACTCAATATTAATCATATGTTGACTCATTTGGCATCATATAAGCCTCATTACCCTCCCCTCCATTTATTTCCTAAGTTTAGAATTGCATTATAAATGACACCATTCAGAAGAATGACTGCACCATGAGGATCATTAAGGTTTCTGTGCTGAATACAGTGTTTTGAAATTCTAAATACCAGTAAAGCAAAGCTCCTGTTTATAGTTAATAAAATGACTACCTCATTTCACTTTTGACTCAGTTATCCTCATGTTTATTATTTATTCCTTATGTTCATAGATAATTTTAACCACTAAAAATGACCTTCTTAGATACCTTACATTCTTTTGAAAACATAATGAGGAGTAAATCTACAAGTAAAAAGTAAATACTTCTAATTAATAAGCTACTTTTGGAACCACCAATACATAACCTCCCCTCCTAGTGAAAGTCCCCAAAGTAACTTTCAGCTTATTATTATCCCCAGTCACATGTCTAGCAAAATTCATGTGTTTCTTCCCACAACATTTAATCATCAACCTTCTCTTGCATCATTCCTTTAACCAAAGCTTTATTTCAGGCTTCAGTTATCACTTACTCAAACTGGTGTGACCTTTTCTTCCCATCTAATATGAAATGATTCTGAGACATTTCAGCTTGTCATTCTGAACTTGTCACTCAGCTCGTCATAGCATAAATCTACCGTAAATCAACCCCCTGCCTCATTCACTCCAACTTTCAATGGGATTTGTGATGATTACTTCCAAATTCAGTAGGTCAACTCAAAATTTCTTGTCCTTTATTTCTTTACTGGCTACCTCTTTTCTTTCAAGAAAATTTATTTGACATGACTTTCATTATACTGGTATCAGTGAGGTTTCTACAGAGTCATAGCATTCAAGTTGCTGTATAGAACCTTCTCACCACCCCTAAGATTCTCATAGTACTAAGTGTTCCAATCATTCTCAATCCACACTAGGCATCAGAGTCAATTGGAGATTTTTAAAAATACAGATGCCCAGGACTTATCCTGAAACTTTGATTTCAGTTAGCTTGGGGTATGATCCAGTTGTTGGTATATTTACTGTCATATATTTATAGCTTAAATATATGTAATTAAAATATACCTTAATTACAGGATTTTGGATCTTGTTAAACCTAAACGTTTCTGCACAATTTACCACTCCTCCCTGCCCCCCACCCTGCCCCCACGGCCATAGTTTTTAAGTTCCTATTCACTTTAAGAAATAATTAATTAGGCCGGGTGCGGTACTCACGCCTGTAATCCCAGCACTTTGGGAGGCCGAGGCAGGCGGATCAGGAGGTCAGGAGATCAAGACCATTCTGGTTAACACGGTGAAACCCCGTCTCTACCAAAAACACAAAAAAATTAGCCAGGCATGGTGGCGGGCGCCTGTAGTCCCAGCTACTGGGTAGGCTGAGGCAGGAGAATGGCATGAACCCAGGAGGCAAGATGGCGCCACTGCACTCCAGCGTGGGCAACAGAGAAATCCGTCTCAAAAAAAAAGAAACAATTAATTAATAATTACTAAAATGTGGCATATTCAAGTATTCTCAATCCAAAATAACATTTTGAAAGATGTAAATAATGTTGCAGAAGACATCACACTTTATCATGAAATTGAGTTGGCGACATTATAAATACTAAACTTCAAAAGAATGGCACACATAGAGAACTACAAGAAACCTTCCAATTATAACTTCAGAAGAAATCAAAGAAAAGAGATAGAGCTTACTAGGACTTTGCTTATATGACATAATTTTGCTATTTTTCCATATATCTCCTGTATTTTCATCTCCCTTCCTCTTCTCTCTCTCTCCCCCCGCCCCCCTCCCACACACACACTAAAAACTCTATGTTCTTCATTATTTCCTCTCAGTCTCTTTACCAGCTCATTCTTCTTCCCAAACCACTTAATATTTTTAGATCCCAGGGCTCTATTCTAAACTTTTTAAAATCTTTTCATTTAACATATTCTCCTGAGATAATTTCGCTGAAATTACTATCTATAAGCTGAGGATGACTAAATCTATATCTCACACCCTAGCTTTTTCCAGAGCTCCAGGCAGAAAGCATTCTTGCCTACATAGGTACCTGAAGCTCACCGAAGTCCCAACTGAATGCATCTTCCTTTCCCAGCAAATCTGCTTCTCCTCCAGGACTTTTAACCTCAACTGGGAACATCACCACCTACCCAATTGCTCAAAATAGAAATCCATAGGTCACCTTCGAACTTATCCCCTCTCTCACACCCCATATCCACTCACCAAGACTCACTGATCATTTTTTTTATTTTATTATTATTATACTTTAAGTTTTAGGGTACATGTGCACAATGTGCAGGTTAGTTACATATGTATACATGTGTCATGCTGGTGTGCTGCACCCATTAACTCGTCATTTAGCATTAGGTATATCTCCTAATGCTATCCCTCCCCCCTCCCCCCTTCCCCCACAACAGTCCCCAGAGTGTGATGTTCCCCTTCCTGTGTCCATGGCTACCTCCTAAATATTTCTTGAGTCCATGCCACTTCTAGGTTAGGATACCTTCATCTATCAACTCAACTTTGCTTTTTATTTTACAAACTGCTCCCCCAATATCCATATTTAATCCTTTTCACTCCTTTAAAAACATTCTAGCGAACTTTTGAATACCAAAACCAAAACAAAACAAATTTTGCATGTAAAAACTGAAAAATTCAAATAACATCTACAGCACGGTTAATCACATTGTTATTAACCATGGTTAATCAACATCAATTTCCTGATTTTGACACCATACTATGCTGATGCACCGTCTTATCATTGAGGAAAACTGGGTGAAAGGTACACAAACCTTCTCTAAACTACTCTTTGCAAATTCTTGTGAGTATTCAACTATTTCAAAATAAATACTATTTAGAAAAACTAACTCTGATTATATTCTGGGTTTTTTGCCCCACCCCTTCTTAAAACTTCTGAGTGCCCCTGAATAAGTCCATCATTCTTACATTGACTTTCATACCCATCAGAATTCTAGTCTACTCCGTGCCCCATTTTCCTTCTTGGATTTGCACTATAACTCTACTAGTTCTCTTTTAATTTATCAAAAAGAATACTCTCTCCTGCTTTAAAAACGTCAAATAAGTTATTCTCTCTGCCTAAAAAGGTTTTCCCAGATCTTGCTTGGCATATTATCTGCTTATTTTTTCAGATCTCTGCTAAAAATCCCTTAATTGGGAAAGTTTTCCCAGACATCCTCCACTGATTCAGCCATCCATTCAAATTAGATGAATTAACTCCTTTTAGGTTCTCACAGCACCCTCTACTTCTACTTTTGTAAAAGTCATCATACTTAAACTTATTTGTTCAATATATTCCCTCACACAAGTGCTCCACAAACTCAACATGGACAGGGAATGAATGTCTGATGAGAAAATATTTGTTGAGTAAGTGAGTAAATAAGTTATTCAAATTGCTGCTAAAATCCCAATTATTTATCCATTTTATTATTTTCCAAAGGAGTCTCTGGGCTGTATATACACTGGTTTATTGGGTGATATTCTACTTTTCTACGATTAACAATATTTTTTCAGTAGTTTATGAGCCAATATTTCAGGGTGGTGGTATACCAAATATTGTACACTATAGGGAAAGTGGTATGCCATTCCAGGTGTTAAATTAGACCACGGTGTAGTTTAGATACAACTATAATGTCATTCAAATATCTAAGAAAGGGGAAGGGGTTCAAATACATATTTCTGTTCAAAAATAGTTCTCTGTGAAGTCTGCAGACTCACATTCCATTAAATCTACGATAGAAAAGGAGCTACAAAAGGTTGACATTCACTATTATTTTCTCCACTATTATTTGGCCATTTGTGCTCAACTTTCCACATTCATGGTGCAGTTTACAGTAACATAAAGTACTTGGAATCCTTTTGAAGCATTTTCAGGACTACTGCATGGTATCACAATAAGTACTACATTTTTCAAAGAAGTAAAAGGTATTTGAGCTATAAGAGATCATCAGTTAGAGATCATCTGATTTTAAAATCAATCCCTGATTTTAAAAATGAGAAAGCTAATGAAAGCAGAGTTAATTGATGCTACAACCACAGTGAGAATACAGGTTGCCTGAAGTAATGACGAAACTCCCCACATCTGCAAACAGATTTTAGGAATTCCAGTAATTATAATGATTTGCAAAATTTCTCATCTGGCACATTAAATCCTTGACTCCTATTTATTGAAGTTTTTAAAAGTACAAATAGTTGTTAGACCTCTAAATTTGGAAGCAACAAGAATGCATTCAGATTTCTGATAATGGCGGATATTAGAATCAATTAACATTAAAATTTTGAATTCAGTTTTGAGATCTGTAAGACTTTTAAAGATGTTGAGTTCTTAAGTTTTGCTTTCTTATAAGTTAACTTTAAATAAGATTCTAAATGAGGGAGCAGGGAGATAAAAGACATAGTTTTATTATGTCAAGATCCAGGAATAAATTAATTAGGAAGAGAAGAGATACAATGTTGTTGATTTTAGGCTTTAACAATGTACTGGCACCTCTCCCATTTATCTTTTTAATATATTTTTTCACAAAATGCATACAATACACATCTACACATTTATGCAGAATTTTTTTAGTCTGTGAATTAGTGTTCATCATAATTCACGAGTGAGATTTAATATCTTCCCTTTGATATTAAAATCATGTATAAAAGCTTGTAGGGGATAAGGAAATAAAGAACTAGGCCATCTCTTTTTTCATTATTAGCTGTGCTGCAGTTTTAGAAATCAAAGCTCTCCACACTCTTGTCCAGAAAGTCAGGCAGTAAATGTTTGCATGACAGCAGCCCAGCAGAGTGGCTGCAGAAAGACCTGAGTTTGAATCTTTTTTCCTGCTATTTCCTCAATGTTTGTCCATGATTCCATAGCTTATCTGAGCCTCAGTCTTCTTATCTGTAAAATGAGCATGAAAACAACACCTATCTCTGGGATTGCACTACAATACATAGAACAATGGTTTAGGTGCCTAGGAGTGATCAGTGCAAAACTGATGGTGGTTATCATCAAATTGTAAGAGCAGTGGATCAGGCAAAGGAGAGAAAAGGTACCCTGCTTTGCAAGAGGGGCACAGTTGTGGTATAAGAAGATTCCTGGTGAAGACTAGCTGCTACAATTGGCATGTGTGGCTGGAGTGCTTATGGGATTGGGAGTATAGTATAGGATGTTGGTTTTGCCATCCACATGCAGATTCCCTTTCAGATAAGTGAAGACATTTGCACTTTGGCCCCCATCACTCTGATTTATCTTAGGAAAGGATTATCCATATATGACAGCCATCACTGAGGGTACTTCTCACCATCCACCTAACTATGTCTCAGATTTCATTGTAAGGCTCATTTGGACAAGTTAAAATGCAGACACCAAGCCTCCAACCCAGAGATTTGGATTTAGTAGATCTCAGCCAGTACTCGACCATATGCATTTTTTGATTAACAAATCATAATTATATACATTTATGGGGTACACTCTGATGTTTTGACATATGTATATGATGTGGCATAATTAAATGAAGCTAATTAACATATCCATTACTTCACTTATTTATCAGTTTTTGTGAAGAGACATTTGAAATTTACTTAGCTATTTTACCATCTGCCTTTTTAACAAGAACCTTAAATTTTATATATATATATTATATTACATATATAATATATATATAACATAATATATATAATATATAAAATACATACGGTATGTACGTGCTGATGTCCATAAATCATTCCTGGAGAAACACTTGTAGATTGCATAGGCTCTGTCTTTTTATTAAATCAGACAAACAGAGTTCTGTCTCTCACAGAGTTACTCTAGCTACCCCAATAAAGTGTCTTCAAAAAAACCTACATTTTAATAATAAAGTTTAACCTTTTATGTAGGGAAGACACAAGAAATAGCCTTATGATGACATTTGTAACATGTAAGATGTTGACTGTTAAGTTTTTCAGTGTCTTTTACTAATCTTATTGAATAGACATATCTTATTATAATTTGTCTTAATATTTTTAATTGAAAGAGATGAGGTGTAGTAATAAATAATTTCAAGTTTTTCTGCCTGTGACTCTGAGAACCAGGAATTTCTCTGCATTAGGGCAAGTAGCCTCAGGCAGGCAACAGCTAACTAGCTGTCCAGCCCAATCAAACCCAAACCCAGAAGAACTAAAAGTGTAAATCAGGATAAGTGATGGAGAGTCTGTCCTTGATTAGAAAGACGTACCTCTGATATCTCTCTATGCAAGAAAGTTTCAGCTCAATTTTTCCATTTTTTTTAATACTTCAAACCCACACCTGAGGTTTACAGGTAATTTTAATTTTTGTTTATTTCCCGAGCTAAGACAGAGGGGTGGGCTGGGAATAGATTCTTTTAAGCTTTGTAAAAAAATCTATTTATTGTATGTTTGATCAAGCAATCATTTCTTGAGAAAAATTACAGATAACATTTACTTCAGCCATTTTTATGGCATAAAAATTCTGCCAGAGCTGTCCATCCCCACCCCTCCAAAAAATGCAAATGGATTTCAAGGTCCACCAAACCTTGTAAGAAGCCTGCATAACGTGAGAAAGTCTCTAAACACTAAGCTGAGCTCTTCTTATCACACATTTGTAGGCACTCAATGAAAGCTGTTTGAATGAAAAAGGAATGAAGAACCATATACTATTAACTGCCACTAGGAGACAAACAACTTGATGTTGCAATGCTTGTGCACAAGTAAACAAACTGTACCTTATCCTTCCACATTCATCTTCCACTGTATGTATGTATGTATGTATGCACGTATGTATGTATGTATATAGAGATGGAGTTTCACCATGTTGATCAGGCTGGTCTCGAACTCCTGGCCTCAGGTGATCCGCCCACCTCTGCTTCCCAAAGTGCAGGGATTACAGGCATGAGCCACCGCTCCCAGCCCATCATCTTCCGTTTTAATAGGTTAAACAAAAGTTACAAGAACAATGATTTATATGTCTATTTTAACTAAAACAGTTATCTGTAGTACTGTTAATGTGGAGTTTTACAATGAGATAATTAGATTTTTGAGGCCTTCCTCAGAATATTTTTGTAGAATAAACTCTACAAAAATAAGATGTTTCATTTATTTGTTGGAAAGATTAACTCAGATATGAAATAATTCTGCATACTTCTAATTGTACTTCAAAACATTATTTGATACTTGAAGATCAAGAAGTATGAAGGAAACTAAAATTATGAATGAAGGAAATCAAACCAAAACGTGCCATACAAATATTTCAGAGGATGGGAAAATCTACCAGGAACATTAATTGTTACTAAAAAGAAATAAATGCTTTGACTATTTACTGTTTAATATGGCATATAATAAATATTTGGACTTTAATAAAACTCATTTTCATCCTGCACAGCTTTATTTCCTTGAGTAGAATGTCAGTTTGTCCAGTTTAATCACTATTTAGCTTTTCTTTTTCTTTTTTCTTTTTTTGTTTTTGTTTAGATGGAGTCTCGCTCTGTTGCATAGGCTGGAGTGCAGTGGCGCTATCTCAGATCTCGGCTCACTGCAACCTCTGCCTCCCGGGTTCAAGCAAATGTGTGCCTCAGCCTCCCTAGTAGCTGGGATTACAGGTGCCTGCCACCATGCCCGGTTGATTATTTTGTATTTTTAGTAGAGACGGGGTTTCACCATCTTGGCCAGGCTGGTCTTGAATTCCTGACCTCGTGATCCACCTGCCTTTGCCTCCCAAAGTGCTAGGATTATTTAGCTTTTTATATTTTATTGTTCAACCAGAAAATTGAGTGGGTGATGCATGACAAAAAATAAAATAAAAAAAAGTAGATGGAATTTATTTTTCTGAAATATGTTAAAGATACAGGATATAAAATAAAATGATGTATTCAGGGAACTATAAATAGTTTGATAGTAAATGAGCAGACCAAGAAATAATGATGAAGAGAGATGGAGGAGCCGAGCTATACTAGACTGTTTATGTCATGCTAGGGAAGTTTCTCTTTATTGTGTAGGCTACAGAGACATATGGAGGCACTTAGGCAGGGATTCTCACAGTCAGAGAGACAGATTGCTTGCCATGTAATGATTAGGATCTGGACTATGATGAGGTCTGGAAGGATGGAGAATAGAGGCTGGGAAAATATTTAGAAAGGGAAGCCATTCTCTAACTTCTCTGTTAGAGAATGGAGGAGAGAAGAGGTTTATTAAGATGATTCATAGGCTTCTGACTTGAACAACTGGATTGGCAAGTAAGTAGTGTAACTAAAGCCCTGATTTACTTCAGTTTTAAACAAATCAGGTCCCCAGTTTTCCAGTCGTTTCCTGTATGTCAGCCTATCCATGCAAAACTATTAGTATAAAGTTCATGCTTGAAGGTCCACCTCAGAAGTCATCTCTTCCCTAAAATCTTCCCTGTTTGCACCCAATGAGACTAGGTCTCTCTATCCTCCACACCAGCAGTAGGAAACTCCACTGTCTTTGGAAAGTCCTACACCTTGAGGCTCCTGGAAGCCCTATTCACATAAAATTTGATAGGACCAGGGCCCTATGGAGTGAGGGAAAAATGTGACCCTTCTTTCAGGGCTAGGGAAGTCATCACAAATGAGAAAAGAGATTGGAGAATATTGTGGCAACGTGGCTACCAAAAGGCATCAAATTCAATGCTTTCCAACTGCCTTGCTAGGAAACTAAAATATATGCATGGTTCCAATCTGACTTGTAGATCTCTAGTTTGTGTCATATCCAAGTTTAAATTCCAAAGACTTTAATGAAGCTCTTTCCTTGGGGATGTGTCTAACTGTCTCACTTGACTCTACCTTATAATTTAACTATAAGTGAAAAAGTTTTGTCCACAAATTAGACTTCAAGGCTTTTGCAGGCAGATAGTTGGAAATATTCCTGTTTATGTTTTCTTTTTCTTTTTTTTTTTCTTTGTTTATTTATTTATTTGAGACGGAGTCTCACTCTATCGCACAGGCTGGAGTGTGGTGGCACGATCTTGGCTCACTGCAACCCCCGCCTCTCGGGTTCAAGCGATTATCATGCCTCAGCCTCCCGAGTAGCTGGGATTACATAGTTTTAGTAGAGATGGGGCTTTGTCATGTTGGCCAGGCTGGTCTTGAACTCCTGACCGCATGTGATCCATCTGCCTCTACCTCCCAAAGTGCTAAGCTTATAGGCATGAGCCACCACACCCGGCCCTGTTTATGTCTTCTATTGTGTTTTCCTGTTGTGAAAAACTTGGAGGTGGTGATAAAGATACTGAGATGACGCATATAAAAGCATGTCAAAAGACAAAGTGCTTACAAACATAATATGTCAATATCATCATCATCATTAGATCACCTGAAAAATTTACAGAGACCGTATTCCAGATAGCCAAGAGGCAAGAGTAGGAGTCACATTAAAACTCTGAAGTAAGATGTCTTCTTGCAGGCCATCATTACAAGTAACTAAAAATTACTATCATTAAAATATATTTGTTTTCATTGTACTGGCATAAACTTTCATCGAATTAACGTCTTTGTTGCCAAATCGATGGTTATTAATGCTAAGCTTGAGACATGAATATTAAATTTTTACTCTCTTAAGCATCTGTGTATGTTTCTTACTACATAAGCAATAAAATCTAACTTCTAATTACCAAGTATTTAATTTTAATTACTCCAAATGTATAATGTATTCCTATGGCAATTAAAAGTAAGATTCTACAAAAGGCTCTTTATCAGACTTTGGAAAACTAGATGCATTTGATTTGCAATTCCACTTACCCTGGTCTAAGTGTAAATAGATACTAGGCATTTCATCTTGAAATCTGTTCAGCCTAGAGGTCACGTTGCTGCCATACATTTTATTTTTTTCCTTTACTTTGTAAATTAGGAGTTAAAAGCTACACAACATTAGTTTTTCAAAGCAAAGCCACAGATGCAAAGTAGATGGATTAACTTATGACAAAGAGGGCAAATGGAAATTCACTTAATTTTAATGTCCCACACAAAAATACTGATAAAAATAATGAACGTATTCTTAAAACATTAGAATAGCTTTTGAATTCCGTGCATATGGAATCACTTAAAGTTCAAATTCATGTGTGAGAACAGTTTGCTATACGTGCAACTCTGGGTTCAATTAAATTAGATAGCGAATTGATATATTTATATTCCTAAGTCTATCCGGATTTTTTTTAAGTATCACAAAAACCTCTCATTTCTTAAAGCAAAGAAAAAATGTTAATCGCCTTTTTGCATTTTAATTTTTCTTAACTTTTTATTTTACTTTAAGTTCTGGGATACATGCCCCAAACATGGAGGTTTGTTACTTAGGTATACATGTGCCATGGTGGTTTGCTGCACCTATCAACCTGTCATCTAGGTTTTAAGCCCTGCATGTGTTAAACATTTGTCCTAATGCTCTCCCTTCCCTTGCCCCCCACCCCTGAACAGGCTTCGGTGTGTGATATTTCCCTCCCTGAGTCCATGTGTTCTCATTGTTCAACTCCCACTTATGAGTGAGAACATGTGGTGTTTGGTTTTCTGTTCCTGTGTTAGGTTGCTGAGGATAATGGCTTCCAGCTTCATCTATGTCCCTGCAAAGGGCATGAACTCATTCCTTTTTATGGCTGCATAGCATTCTATGGTGTATATGTACCACATTTTCTTTATCCAGTCTATCCTTGGTGGGCATTTGGGTTAGTTCCATGTCTTTGCTATTGTGAATAGTGCTGCAATAAACATATGTGTGCATTTGTCTTTACAGTAGAATGATGTATATTCCTTTGGGTATATACCCAGTGATGAGATTGCTTGGTCAAATGGTATTGCTGGTTCTAGATTCTTGAGGAATCACCACACAGTCTTCCACAATGGTTGAACCAATTTACATTCCTACCAACAGTGTAAAAGTGTTCCTATTTCTCCACAGCCTCGCCAGCATCTATTGTTTCTTGACTTTTTAATAATCTCCATTCTGGCTGGTGTGAGATGGTATCTCATTATGGTTTTGATTTGCATTTCTCTAATGATCAGTGATGTTGAGCTTTTTTCATATGTTTCTTGGCAACAAATATGTCTTCTTTTGAGAAGTGTCTATTCATATCCTTTGCCCACTTTTTGATGTTGTTGTTGTTGTTGTTCTTGTAAATTACAGTTCCTTGTAGATTCTAGATACTAGACCTTTGTTGGATGGATAGATTGCAAAAATTTTCTCCCATTCTCTGGATTGCCTGTTCACCCTGATGATAATTTATTTTGCCGTGTAGAAGCGCTTTAGTTTAATTAGATCCCATTTATCAATTTTGACTTTTGTTGCAATCGTTTTTGGCGTTTTCATCATGAAATCTTTGTCCATGCCTACATCTTGAACGGTATTGCCTAGGTTTTCTTCTAGGGTGCATATGGTTTTTGGTTTTACATTTAAGTCTTTAATCAATCTTGAGTTAATTTTTATGCAAGGTGTAAGGAAAGGGTCCAATTTCAATTTTCTGCACATGGCTAGTCAATTTTCCCAGCACCATTTATTAACTAGGGAATCCTTCCCCATTGCTTGGTTTTGTCAGGTTTGTTGAAGATCAGATGGTTGTAGACGTGTAGTGTTATTTCTGAGGTCTCTTTTCTGTTCTATTGGTCTATCTGCTTTGGTACCAGTACCATGCTGTTTTGGTTACTGTAGCCTTGTAGTATAGTTTGAAGTCAGGTAGCCTGATGCCTCCAGTTTTGTTCTTTTTGCTTAGGATTGTCTTGGCTATATGGGCTCTTTTGGGTTCCAAATGAAATTTAAAGTATGTTTTTCTAATTGTGTAAAGAATGTCAATGGTAGTTTAATGGGAATAGCATTAAATCTACAAATTATATAATTTTTAATAAATTTATATGATTCATATATTTATAAATTATATAATTTATACATTTATAAATAGATTATATAATTATAAATAAATATATAAATATATGAATATTTATATAAATATATGAATATATGAATTATATATAAATATATAAATAATTATAAATATATAAATACTATAAAATATAAAATAATAAAATATAAAGTATAAAATAATATAAAATATAAAAACATAAATAATTATAAATATATAAATATTTATATATAAATATATAAATAATTATAAATAAATATATAAATAATTATAAATATATAATTATAAATATATAAATATATAAATAATTATAAATAACATATAAATAATTATATATAAATATATAAATAATTACATATAAAAAATTATATAATATATATAATTATAAAATTAAATATAATTATATAATTATATATAGTATATTATTATATAATTATATAATTATATGTAGTATATTATATATAATTATATATAGTATATTAGATATAATTATATATAAATAAATTATATATAAATTATATCATTTATATAATTATATGTATATATAATTATATATTCATATATAAAATTGTATATTTATAAATCATATAATTTATATATTTATAAATTACACACTTTTTATAATTATAAATCATATAAGTTTATTAAAAATTATATAGTTATAATTATATAATTAAATTATATAAATTACATATTTATAATTTTTAAATAAATTTATATAATTTATATATTTATATAATTAAATTAAAAATATATAATTTTTATATGTAGATATTTAAAAACACATAATTTATATTTAAATTATATAATTTAAAAAATAAATAATTTTTTTTTTTTGAGACAGAGTTTTACTCCGTTGCCAAGGCTGGAGTTCAGTGGCTCAATCTTGGCTCACTGTAACCTCTGCCTCCTGGGTTCAAGCAATTCTCTTGCCTCACCCTCCCAAGTAGCTGGGATTACAGGCACCCGCCATCATGCCCAGCTAATTTTTGTATTTCTGTAGAGACAGGGTTTCACTATGTTGGCCAGGCTTGAACTCCTAACCTCAGGTGATCTGCCCAACTTGGCCTCCTAAAATGCTGAGATTACAGGCTTCAGCCACTGTGCCTGGCCAAATTTTTAAATAAATTTATATAATTTATACTTTATAATTTTTTAAATAAATTTATATAATTTATAATTTATTAATTTTTTTGAAGCAAGGTCTCACTCTGTCACCCAGGATGGAGTGCAGTGGTGCTATCTTGGCTCACTGCCACCTCTATTTTCCAGGCTCAAGTGATCCTCCCACCTCAGCCTCATGAGTAGCTGGGACCACAGCTGCATGCCAAAATGCCCAGCCAATTTGGTATTCATACATTTTTGTAGAGACAGGGTTTAGTTATGTTGCTCAACCTGCTCTCGAACTCCTGGGCTCAAGGAATCCACCTGCCTTGGCCTTCCAAATTGCTGTGATTATAGGCATCAGCCACCATGCTTGGCCAAGTGCCAATATTTTAAAAGCAATATGGAGAATGTCTAAGTTGACTCAGGGTTGATATGAAAATTAAACAAGGTAAAATACATAAAGCACTTAGAACATTGCAGGTCATATGTCAACTCAAAGGAGAGCATCTTTGTGGTAGAACTACAGATGAGCACAATAATAGGCTATTTCTGAGTAGTTTTGCCCAAGAGTTCAGGGAGGGCAAGGATATGCAAACTGGATGGGTAACTAAAGAGCAAATTAACTCAAGTCTTTCATTCAGCCCGTTTGGAGTTTCCCCGTTTTTTTGTAAGCAAACAAAAGGATTATAGAACAATTAGGGCTAAAGCCATGCTTGTTTTACATGGTGAAGTAATACTGTCAATCTAAGAACAAATTTCATACATAAGATCTTTCATACATAAAAGCTTCATATATGACTGCTTCCAATGAAGACACAACTACACATCAGCAAATTAGAACAAAACCTTCAGCATTCTGGCCTTTAGGGATCAAAATCATGTGAGTTATCTCCCTCCCACGCTATCAAGTCCCACACCCACAAACATGGGTCAACTTTCCTAAATCCTCATTCTCCTCAACGTAAATAGGTAATCAAGGTCACTTCTATAAGGTGAAAGGGAAAGAAAAAGACCCTCTCCATCCTCCCACTCCACACCCCCACACACATAGTATTTCAGGGTCAAGAAATGATTTGAAATAACATCATCAATAAAAATAATAATTACGTCAAATTTGGGTCCACAAAAGAGAATATCCAAAGGACAGTGTGCTGACAAAAGTCTAAGAAAACACAATGAAGAAAAGATAATCAGAGAAAAAGAAGTACTTGGAAATTAAGAATTAAGGATAGTAGCTTGATCAGGTTCTGATCAAAAGTAGATTGACCCCCAGATCATATCTTCTCTGAGGAATGCGGATGAAAAGAGCATGATAGTGTTTGGATCTCTGTCCCCATCCAATCTCATGTTGAATTCTAATCTCCAGTATTGGAGGTGGGGCCCGAAAGGAGGTGATTGGATCATGGAGGTGGATTTCTCATGAATGCTGTAGCACCATTCTCTTGGTGCTGTCCTCACAATAGCGAGTGATTTTTTCTGAGGTCTGGCCCGTTAAAAGTACATGACACCTCCCTCCCTTCACTCTCTCGCGCCTGCTTTCACCACGTGAAGTGCCTGCCTCCACTTCACCTTCTGCTATGATTGTAAGCTTCCTGAGGCCTCCCCAGAAGCATATGCCACCATGTTTTCTGTACAGCCTGCAGAACCTTGGCCACTTAAACTTCTTTTCTCTATAAATTACCCAGTCTCAGAGCCTCCAGTAATTTTTTTTTTTTTTTTGAGATGGAGTCTCGATCTGTTGCCCAGGATAGAGTGCAGTGGCACATGGCATGATCTCAGCTCACCGCAACCTCCACCTCCCGGGTGGAAGTGATTCTCCTGCCTCAGCCACCCGAGTAGCTGGGATTACAGGAACCCACCATCACGCCTGGCTAATTTTTGTATTTTTAGTAGAGATGGTGTTTCACCATGTTGGCCAGGCTGGTTTCGAACTCCTGACCTCAGGTGATCTATTTGCCTCGGCCTCTCAAAGTGCTGGGATTACAGGCGTGAGCCACCAGGCCCGGGCTCAGGTATTTATTTATAGCAACGCAAGAAAGGCCTAATACGGAGCATGCAAGAAGTTTCTGTTCTTCATTATAAGCCTTTTTTGGGCTGATTTTTTAAACCATATATATGGATAACAGTAATAAAATTTATTTTTAAAGAACGAGGTTAATTAAGACTGTTGTAAAATGTTAGGATTTTTATGCAATCATCTGACTTCAGTCATTGATAGAACTAGTTTTTGGAAGTGTCAATGCCCATCAGGTAAAAATGTAAGTGAACAAGTTTGGTGTATTATTCATTGCAGAGGGAGAATGCATACCACAGGGAACCACCTGTGAGGTAGCTCAGTACAACAGTGTCAGAAGAACCTATTATAGAATTGGGGCTTTTGTTGAATAATTTTGAGGAAGGTTCTAAGGAAGCAGAAGTTTGTCCTACATTGTGTGTTGTCAGAAAGCAGGGGAAATGTTATGATTAGATATCTCAATAAAACGTATAGATAGGGCAGGCTATAGGAAGCCTAAAATTGAACCTAGTAAGGGAGCATTTACTGAGACAGGAAGATACCTGGTTTTAGTGAGAGAGACAGATCTGGTCTATTTTGTAGTATGCACAGTGACACGATCTGAAGTAGGTGGTTTATGACATTATTGATGCTCAACGGGAGAACAACATGGCGTAGTTGCCAGTGTCAAATCAGTTTGTGATAACCTGAGTTCCAGCTATGAGCATCAGATCAGTTGCTGGATGTCACTGGCTGCTTTTTTCTTTCTTAGAAGAAAACCAAGAAGGATATGTCTAGCAATAACTATTGATAGTTTGTGATTTTGATTTACATGAATTGGGTTTTTATATATGAGTTTTTCCTTGGGAAATTACAGTTTCCTTAGTAATCAGAGACCAAATCTTAATCACACGTATATACCCACAAGAGGCAACCCAGATGGGTTAGGTTTTTATTCTTCCCACAGAGGTTAAGACACAGGGCTAACATCACTTAGCCATTATCTGGAAAAGTTAGGACTAGAAATGGTGTTTGAACAAAAGCCTCTTGGTGCTGTGTTGATATTGTGTCCATGTGGCATCCCAGTAAGACGGATGTCTCACTACTGTTTGGGAGAAGGGCATGATGCATTATTGTGATTTGTTCCACCATATGCCTTTCATATGGGTTTTGCCCTTTGCTACACATGTGGGATGGTAGAGCTCTAAGGATTTAGTTCCATTGCTTTAGACCAAAGGGACTTCCGAAGAAGGCTAAAGCCTGAACTGCCAAATGCCATCCTCATTTAATAGAGAGCTGCTAGTTTGTTCCTGGACTAAGGCAACAGATGTTCCTAAGGTTTCTGCCAAAATGTTTAGCAGCGACATGATGCTAGGGGTACAGCAGAAGGTACGACAGATGTACGTACAATACAAGAAGCAGAGGGCTGGCAATGACAAGGGCCTGCTCTTGAGGTAAGTGCCAACAATCACCACAACAGAGAACATTAAATGCAATAAGTGTAGCAGTGTTCCTTAATACTATGCCATTAGGACCATATTTATCTCACTTGTTAACTGTACCATGCAGAAAATTAATGAAATATATTACTGTGCAAGACCATTCACGAATCCAACGAACAGTTAGTGGGTGCCCATTGTGAATGATGTACTGATGGGTGATTATGACATTTTCAAATAGATATGCATATTCTCAAGGAGTTTTGACACCAATCTTGGTGCCACATTATCTGTGTTCTTACGGTTGTCACTTACTAGCTGGGTGGCCTTGGAAAAAATCTTTAAAATTTTAAATCTTCAATTATTTATAAAAATTAGGGAAAAGTACCTTCTGCAGAGAGTTGTTATGAGGATTCAGTGAGATATGACATAAAAAGTTCTCATCTCTGAGTGCAGTACTTCATGAATGTTATCTATTATTATTTGTAATGAAGTTCTTCCCTCCTGTATTTATTTAATTAGTGATAGTTTGAATGTGTCCCGAACAATGTAGAATGCAGAGAGAGAAAAACTCATGAGCCAAAAATTATGCTTAAATGTATCAAAAAATAATATAATAATTTCCTCCATCAAAGACATGTTTCTACTATTAAACAAAAACTCTGCATGCCTGCAGAAAGCAAATAGTGGCTCCTCAAAGATGTCCACTTTCGGATTCTCAGAATTTGGATATATATTACCTTATATGGAAAAAGGGGCCTACAGATGTAATGAAGAGTATGAACATTGAGCTCGGAAGATTGCTCTGGGTTATCCAAGTGGGTTCAATTAATCACCACGATACTTGTAAGTGAGGGAGACAGGAGAGATGATCTCAGTAATGCAATATGAGAAAGACTGGACCTAGACTTGCATTGCTGGCTTTGAAGATGGGATGGGGCCAAGAGCTGAGAATGTGGGAAGTTTCTAAAAGATGCAAAAGACAAGGAACAGATTCTTTGCTAGAGCTTCCAAAAAGGAACAACAGCCCCACTGACATCTTAATTGTAGCCTAGTGAGACCCTCATTAGACTTCTAACCTACAAGACTATACAATAAAAATGTGTGAATTTTTATTCCTACCGTTGCTGTAACAATATCACTTAAGTCACTAAGTTAGTGGTATTGTTACAGCAACAATAGGAAATTAATACAATGTCTCTTTGCTTTATTAAATTAAATTGGCAAAATGACTAAGAGACACTTAATACATGTGTAGTGTATATGCTAACAGAAAAGAACGATAGCTGTTTAATGAAGATTCCACTTGGTCTATTACTTAACTAAGTCAAGTATACCAAGTCCATTATAGAAACTTAAAACCTAGGATGTCATTTCTGGATGGTCATTGCAAACTCCTCTACATGTGCTTGAGAAATTCCTTGAATTTGACAGAGCTGAACTTTTCAGCTTTGTTCAAAAACAGGGGCCAGAAAATGTAGAAGGAAAGAAATTTGAAAATGTTGTGAAGGAAAGACAGAGAGAGAAAATTGTATACTAGGCCTAAAAAAATAGTGATATATGTGAAGATTGACTTCAAGACCTTAAATATCCCTTTGTACACCTTTTTCCTCTTCACAGGGGGCCTTGTAGTTTGTTGTGATTTGGGCAATACCAGAAAAATCGGAATCAACAACCTCAACAACTTTGCCCTCCCTAATATTCATATAGTTAACCATTATTTAGCTTAAGGTAATTTTCTCCATTAAAATTGTAATCTTAGAAGCAGTGAGCACACTTTGTTATTTATAATGGGATTTTACTAAGCTTCTAAATTCTAGACAGCAAGTTCCTCCACCCTGTTCCACAACTATCTTTCAAAAAATAATAAAATGCTCCAAACTTTTTCTTAAAAGTTAAAAAAAAATTCTCAATAAGCCTTACAAACATTATAAATGCAAAAGGGAAATTTGAAAGTAAGGCCTTATTGGCATTGATATATGGAGAACCCACTGAAGCTTAGGACCTGTGATCATTTGTAAACTTTCATGTCCAAGCTCATGATCACTGTTTCTTCTCACTTAAGGAGAGATTAGTTTTCTGTTTTCAAGTAGACTTACTTCTCCATTGATAAGCATAAATAATAATTTTTCTAGAACATTGACTAAAAAATTAATTATTTTTTATACGAATCCAAAGTCTTATTTTAAAATTCCAAAACCTCTGAACTTAATTCTAAGTGTCATTTTATTTTAAAGTATATCAACATGATCATACTGTAAAATGGAAAGATTTGTCTTGTGGTAAAGTTAAAATTGTCATTATATTTTTAGACCATGAATTTTAACAGTCTCTAGAGAGTTAGTGTTGGAATTATGTCCAAAATCAAAACAGGAAATGAACAGGGTCATTAAATTAGAGTAGAAAGTGGTTTTATATATTTTTGTTTTGCCAAAAATTTCTCTATCAAAATATGATCTTTCCTAGATTAAGGCATGATTCTTTTTTCTTGAGAAGCATATTTAACTGTACACATCTGTACCATGAGTCTAAAATGTGTATTTTTGATATTCCAGATTTCTCTTCAAAATTTAATGTATTCTAGATAATCAGGAAAATTTCTCTAATTATGCAAATAATTAAGATTTATAAAAATGTGTTAATATTTTCAGGAAAAAGTATAAGGCAGTGAAAATCACAAAGATCAATAACTCAAAGACTGTGAACATTTCCTTTTATTTTCCATTGCTCCCTGAAAATTTAATTTAGTTTACTTTACCTAAGACATAATGTGGTGCAACTGAACCATACTAACTGAATAGGGACACCATAGCCTATATGTTACAAATAATATGAATTTAGCAAGTGAACATTCGGAAGCCTACATTTTCAAACTACTAAGACAGTAAATTTATTGCGTTTTGGAGGTAGTGCAAGAAATGAAGAATTATTCTAAGGACAACTATTCATTGCCTAAAGCAACCTATATTCAGGTCCAAGATATGGCTTAGGATTTCATGATTTCCTTTTTATTTTTTCTAAAATGTAACAGTAACATATCAGTTACTAAGAGACCAGGTTCCAAAATAATTTGAAGCTTAACATTCAGAACCAATATGCTGTTGCTTTTCCCTTCAATTAACCTAGCTTGTTCCAGCAAGAATTCTTTAACTCCTTAGCAAGCTAAACCATAAATAGGCACAACAGCTATAGTCATTTACTGTAAATTAAATAGAATATTCTGCAGAGACGAATAGAACAACAGTAGGTTGCAGAGGGAAGACGTAGGAATCAGAACTGTGTTCTAATTGAGATACTGTCTTCAGGGAAGTTTCTTTACTTTCCTGAAACTTGAAGTACTCATTCGAAAAACTGATGCTAATAAGAATACCTATCTCATGGTGTTAGTGTAGAAATTATCGAGAAAATTCATGGAAAACATTTAGTACAGTATTTGGCACAGATAAAAGTACTATACGAAAGCTTTCTGTAATGATAATAAACAGAGTTATTATCATTTTTAATGGTTTCTTAAGAATTTAAGCTAATTTAGAAACTCACTGAATTCAAACATTACTTTTAGAACCATTTTAACTGTCTTTTTTAAAGAGCAGATATTAATTTACTTTCTATAATTAAAATGGCATGGCACTATATTGATCTGAGGATTCCTTTTCTAAAATTTACCCTTAAAAGTAATCTGCTTTTGCACAGGAAGTTATTTTTTGTTTTATTTTTTATTTTTTTTCAAAATCCCATTATATCCACTTCTCTTTGCTCCATCAACTTTTAAATGGCCTTTGGCCAAATGCCATAAAACACTGACCTAAAGATTGCTGCTCTGCTCTTAACTGTGTCCTGAAATAGTTTTAATGGAACTTAGAACCTCAAAGACTCTCAGGGTTAGGAAGGATCTCCAATGCCATGTAATTCAACTTCCCTTCCCCTCATCCAACATCTATGACATCTGCAAGTCATCACTGAGATTTTAGTGAAAACCCCCTAGTGATAAAGACATCACTGCCTCAAGAGACAGCTAACTTTCAGACAGCTGCCACAAAAGTTAGAGCAGTTGTTAAGAAGCCATGGAATATCTCCCTAGAAAGAAGCAGATGTTCTTGACTCATTTTTAAACATAGAACTGCAATCATGTTTAAGAAAACAACTTAAAAGCTCAGCCACATCCCATCTTTACTCCGTTGAGAGCTGTTACATAATGTATTTTATTTAAGGAATCAATAAGGTATGTTATATGAGCATAGCTTTCTTACAAAGCTATCAAAAATTGTTTCTTCTGTAGTAAAGCAATGCCTCCATTAGAACTCTGTCTTGTCTCCTTTATCTATGAAATGGAAGAAAGAATGCTATCCACTTCCTAATTGTTGTGGAAATTACATAAGATTACCCATATCAAACACACACAGTACCCACACAGTACTAGGGACATAGTAAGCATTCAACAAACCGTGGTAAGCACCATAAATAATGCCCATGAAGTGCGTAGCAACATGCTTGGCTCATCGTGTACATTCCAAATATGTGATTATTACTCATTAGGCCATTTGCTTCATCAGCCAAGACCTCAATTATTGCCTGTGAAAAAATACAGCTTGACAAGTGCTACCACATGAGGAGCAAGATAACTGGTTAAAATGTTGATAGAATATAACAAGAATGTAACACCATTATGGACTTTCCCAATAAGGAGAATTTCACCATACTGTGCACAAAGAAGCATTATGGGACCCATGGCAAAAGCAGACCTATGATTGCTTTGTACCAGAGTGAAAGACCATGCTGTGCTGTGTTTAAGAGTCCAGGTTCTCTATAATTAGGATACAGGGTAACTGAAATTGGGGAATACCCATGAAGCATTTCCATGTTCATTACAATACAGAAATATTACTTCCTCAAAATTGGCTCCACAATAAGAGAGAGCAGAACAAATGGTCATGTACAGGTTAACTAAAAATGTCACATTTCAAGTACGTTTCTCCATTATCTCTCAGATCTACCCATTCCCTCTTATGATTCCACAGCCTCCAACAACCCTGTTACCCCATGCCTTCAACAGCCACTTATCTGATTCTCCAGGCTCCCACCTCTACTCATCCTGCACAGAGATGCCAAAGGGTGGAACAATCTTCCTCTGATAGCAATGCCATCTTCTTGCTCAGGAATTCCCCCGCTGTTCAATATTGCTCATGGTATCAGATCTTACCATCTTGATCCAGCCTTCCACCCTCTCTCCCATCATCTCCCACTGGTCTATTAACTACATCTTGAACTCAGCCCCCTCCAGGGATTTCAGAGGAAATGCTTCCTACCATCATCCCACCAGTTCCTGCCTTTCCTCCTCCAAATCTAGCTCAGAATTCAATTCCTGTAAGAATTCCTGCAGACACCTTTTACTGTTCACTTCCTCAACTTCAGCTTTTCTGTATTCTGTTTGCATCATATTAACATTCACCTCCTTGCATGTTGATTTCAAATGGCTTTAATCCCCATGATACATGAATACTGTTCATCCCAAATTTACTGGAATGTCCTTCCAGGATTAGTCCATGTCCTTCATTTCATACAGAAGCCCAATAAGCCGTGTCTTCAGGGACTGAAGAGTTCTAGTTCTTCGAAGGGATTATAATTACATTCTACTCATTTTGAGTGAGGTGCAAATCATTTCAGTGCCCTCTGTTTTGTTTCTCTTCTTCAAGAGGCAGGAAATGCATGGTTGAAATAATTCAGAGGGGCAGAGTGCTTATATGTTCCGCCAGTCTACCGTGGATAATGCCACATTATTGATGCAGCATTTTACCATTCACAAACTGACCTCACATTTGTTATTTAATTTGAGCCTCAAGTAAATTAAGCAAATTACTCACCTTTCTCAATTAGTTACCGACTGGCAGAGTTGAGAAAAAACTCCAAATCTGTTGAGTGAAAGCCCAGTACTTTTCCACCACCACACCAGAACTGCCTCCCTACAGTGAAGCTCTCTCCTTCGCCCAGCCTATACATGTACTCGGTCTCCTCTACAAGAACAACATTGTCTTGACTTTCCATTGCTACCCTTTGCCCCTGATTTCTTCTCTATGTTTGCACTATGACAATTCTTAAAAAGGAATTTTGGTACTACTTCTTTATCATTCCTTTTTTTTTTTTTTCGAGATGGAGTCTCACTCTGTCATCCAGGCTGGAGTGCATTGGCACAATCTCAGCTCACCACAGACTCCACCTCCAGGTTCAAGTAATTCTCCCCCCTCAGCGTCCCGAATAGCTGGGACTACAGGTGCGCGTCACCACGCTGGCTAATTTTTGTATTTTTAATAGAGACGGGGTTTCACCATGTTGGCCAGGATGGTCTCTATCTCTTGACCTCGTGATCCTCCCGCCTCGGCCTCCCAAAATTCTGGGATTACAGGCATGAGCCACCACACCCAGCCTTCTTCTTTATCATTCTTACATTACAAATTACCCCCTCACATTCATTTATTAGGGTCTAGCACCTCCATCCTACCTCTCCCAAATTTGGCTGAAAAGAACAATCTCATCAATTATCGACAGATCTCTCTCTCTCTCTCTCTCTCTCTGTCTCTCCCCCTTTCACATTTGTTTTATATATATATATGTTTAAAGGAACATTATTGTAACATCTCTCCTTCTTTAAATCTTCCCTCCCCCCGCCCCGAGATGGAGTCTCGCTCTATCTCCCAGGCTGGAGTGCCATGGCCTGATCTCAGCTCACTGCAACCTCTGCCTCCCAGGTTCAAGTGATTCTCCTGCCTCAGCCTCCTGAGTAGCTGGGATTACAGGTGTGTGGCACCATGCCCAGCTAATTTTTGTATTTTCAGTAGAGATGGGGTTTCACCATGTTGGTCAGGCTAGTCTCGAACTCCTGACCTCGTGATCTGCCCGCCTCAGCCTCCCAAAATGCTGGGATTACAGACATGAGCCACTGCACTGGCCTCTTTCTTTAAATCTTTAGATGTATGCTTCTCTTTACTTTGCACATAATATATCAGATATTGCACATAAATACTCATTGGATAAGCCAAAACAAATATTCAAATAAGTTTTAGTTTCCATTAATCCAGCAGTAATAACCAAATTTCCAGGATAAAATACCATTATATTGATAAATACTTAAAATGCAGAAATTAATTGCCCATTTACTTGGGCTCCAAGTCATTTGTAGAAACCTATACAATGTTTTAGCATGCACCTTATCTAACCCCTCAATACACTTCAGTAACTGTCCAGCTGAAAAGAGTACACCAGTCAGAAAAAAATAATAAAGCTGCCTCCTCCTCTATCCTCAGGAAAATCAAAACATTTTCTATGTAAATGACCACTTAGAATACCAGTTCCACACATTTTAGTTGATGTTATCTACTTGATTGCTTCCAGGTTCTTTTTTAAAAGTTTGAAAAAAGGAATAATTGAAAAAAGGAAAAGTGTTATTTACCTTTATATTTCTCTTGTTCCCCTTCCCACCTTGTCCCCCTCCCCTTCACACTTTGTCCTCTAAACATAGGCATGTGCACATCCACACACACACACACAGAGTCACTCATGGGTAGCAGACAATCAATACAACTGACAAATTGCTGACTGACTTTCTTTAGGAAATCACAGAGTTGGAAAGTATCACCAAAACAAAACAAAACAAAACAAAATATATCAATGAAGCTATTTCTACTCTTTATTGCACAGAAAATAATCTATCTAAAAACTCTCCTGAAAGAGTTTCCACAACCTCCCTAGCTTTCATATCAGTATGTTCTTTTGCATATTTAACCTAAATCATGTCGTATAGGAGCAATGTAGTATTAAAGGAAGTTTGACTAGAGTATAATCTTCACGTTGAAAGACAACAAGGAACAGAAGTGAATAAGCAAAGTGAAGCTATATACTGGAAGATGTTAAATGCTAGTTTGTTTCTGAGCTAAGGAAATCAATTAATTAAACTATGAGGCAGGAAAGAAACACAGTTTTAGTTAAAATGATCAAAGCAACACACACACACACACACACACACACACACACACACACACACGTTTACAGGCTGACTTTTTCTGAAGTGCTCCCCTGGAAATCCCCCTTCCCTAAATGCATCTCATGTTCTGAGTGTGAAGCTCATAGGTGCAACGCCAACTGCTACTACAGAAATAGCTACTTTCAATGGAATTGAGTTATGTTTGGCAAAAATGACATTTTTTTATTGAGGCTTTCACTTTTCCTCTTCTTTTAGTTTTTTTTTTTTTTTTTTTTTAAATAGAATGCTCAAAATATTCCTACTGCTTTGGCTGGTTTATGCTTAAGACAGTTCCTTTCTACTTATATACAACATGCTAATGTAATTTGACTATGCAAACTGCAAAATTTCATTGTTTGTATTTTAAACAGGATCTCCCTCATAAAGATTAGTTGCTCTCTACACATGTATAGATGTCAATTTAAAAACACTGAACAGTTTTTACTTGATAACTTTTCTTTCCTGTGAGGAACAACATAAGATAAAGGAGTAACAAAGAAGTGGGAAGGGCAGCTAGGGAGAAGATGGCTCTGGTTGGTTTCATTGGTGGGATAATAACTATTCACAGATAACACCCTGAATAACACACTGCCACCCTTATGCTCAATTGAAAAACTCTGAAGGAACAGAAAGGCATAAAAATATAGTGGCAACTGCATTGGCATGATTGAAGATTCATGAAAACTAGCTCCTGTTTCTACCTGTGCTACTGACTAGCTGTGCATCTTTCAGTTAGTCACTTAACTTCTCTGAACCTCACTCACTAGTGACTGAATCAGTATCCATGTCTATTTTACTACAAAGCTAAATGCTTTTTCCAGCACATTGCGATGCATATCAGAAAAGCAAAGCCTATGGGTGTCTGGTAGTTTATGAGAAAATGGGAGTTGGCACAGAGGTGTAAAATCATTGTTCCATGTCATCAGCTAATGAGGGATTTTGGTAGCTGTTGAATCAAAATTAAAGTCTCCTTCTGCCTAGTTGAAGCCCATAGAGCTTTTGCAATCTTTTATTCCAATTTCTGCTGAATACAACCTGGTATATTGAATAGCACCATAATATGCTAACAGTGTTTTCAAACATCTTTCTATATACTATGTCAAACTAGTCTAGCATTCATATGAATTTGGAAAAATGGAAATTAGTTAACATGGTCGACACTAAACTCATAACATTATGGACATACATGTGTTTAAGAGTGAACTAAAGAAGACTGAAAATTTAAAATGCTGCATATAGTTCCTAATTTCACCCTATCCTAATTTTCCAAATATACAATAAAAATTAAATATCCGAACAAAAGAAACTAGTCTGGTACTTTAATCATCACATCTATTTCCATAATACATCCAGATCTAGTTCAAACCTCATATGTCACAATAGTTTTGTAAATTTTAACTAGCAACATTTCTGGCAAATGTTATTATGAATCTAATGAAAGGCAAAAAAGAGACTCCAGATTCAGAAATTCATGAGGATGATAAAATCTGGCAAGATCTGTATTATATATAATATTTATTTTTAGTGGAAGGATCTATTTTGAGGTTGTGGGGTTTTTTTGGTCTCCTTTGTTGAACTAGAAAAAGCGGCATATACTATTCCAACAACCTACATTTTTATTTCTGTGTTAAAACCCGAAAGCTTTTTTTCTGCTGAGAAATTGTATAACTAGTATCTATGGTAAAGTTTGGTTTACAGTAGTCAAGGCATTGTTTCCTAGGAAACCAGTACATGTTTTAAAAGTATTAAATGTAAGCTAGCTAGTGCTTACCACTGCAATTCAATGATGATTTGAGACCGCAACTGCCAGAACTCCTTCACCCAGGAAAGGTAAATAAGACAAGACCAGTTACTAGGAGGAAAAGTTCTTTACTGTCTTTAACATAAAACACACATACTACTGTACTTAACCTATTTCCTACCTTACACGCCATCCATAAAACAATGCTTTCAGCACAAAATAAAGAAAACTACAACAATTCAGATAGGCTCTGTAGGTGGTGCATAGTAGCATGGCAAGAGCATGGCAAGAAGTAGCACCCCTACTGCTCATTCTTGACATACACTGTGGCTTTATAAGAAAGATCTTTAGATCAGGAGAAAATAAAGAACTATTCTCTGTTCTTGGCTCTGCAGTTTTCTACCTTTGGGTAAAAACACCTCTCCGAACTTCAGTTTCTTCATGTGCTAACTTCATCAGAGAGCTTTGTAAATATCTCTTTTAAAATATGTGAATGAATCAAACAAAGAATTTAGTGGAAAGTCAAGTCCCTTAGAAATGCACACAAACTTATTGGATTTCAGCAACTCTTATAAGCATCCTGCATCCTGCTATTGCCCAACTGTGAAGGCTCCCCTTCTTCTCACCCACCATTCAGTATCAACTCACAAGTCCAATAGGTAGTCCCTTTGCATCAATCATCTTTCCATCCTTACTTCATTAGCTTCCCCTACCTTGTCTCCCTGCCTAAAACATCCTCCAAAGTTTAGGGCATCCTACAAATAGCTCCAAAGTAATCTCCTCCAAAAATCAACAGGGTAACTGGATTGTTTGTAACAAAGGATAAAGGCTGGAGGGGATGGATACCCCATTCTTCATGATGTGCTTATTTCACCCTGTATGCCTGTATCAAAACATCTCATGTATCTCATAAATATATAAATCTACTATGTGCCCACACAAAAAATTTAAAAATATAAACAATAATTTAATTTAATTTAAAAAATCAACAAGGTAACTTTCCTAATTAAATGATTTAATGGTTCTTTACTGCCCACCTACTGCATAAAGTAGTAAAATGCAAGGCTCTCCACAGCTGGGCTCAGTTCTACATTTCCAAACCTCTCCAGTCCTACACTATCAACTCTGTACTTCACCAGAACTGAAATATTCAGGATTCCCCCAAAGAACCACACAGCTTCATCTATCTGCACCTTTCCTTGGCATTGAAGTGTACTTGTAAATCCAATACAGGGATGACAAAAAACTCTCCCCTTTCTTTATGCTTTTTCAAATACAGTTAGAGGGTTGACTATGGAGATAAATTAATTTCACATACAGTTACTATGGCAGTCCATTCCTTCCCATTTGCTCAGCTATCACCAAGTTGCTGCTACTCTCATCTTTTAAGTGGATTCCGCAGTTGGGCTTTCAGTTTCATCCTCTCCCTCACAGTTCATTCTCTATTTAACCCCTAGAATGAGCTAGTCCTAATTTTTAGCAGCTCTCTTTAGATACAACTGATGTGCAATAAAATATACAAAATTTTGTATAAAATATACACAAATATATAATATACAAAATATATAAATCGATAAGTTTTGGCATATGTTTATACTAATGAAAACATCACCACAGTCAAGATAATAAACATCTCACTCCCCTCAAAGGTTTCCTCCTGACACTTTGTAGCCTCTTCCACTCATTCCTCTCTCCATCCCAGGCAACCACCGGTTTGTTCTGTCACCATAGATTAGTCTGCATTTTCTAGAATTTTGTATAAATGGTATTAAACAGTATATATTCTTTTGTTTCTGGATTCTTTCACTAGCATAATTTATTCAGGTTGTAGTGTGCATCAGCAGCTTATTGCTTTTTATTATTGAGTAGTATTTCATGTGTGCATATATCACAGTTTCTTTATCCATTCACCTGTTGATAGACATTTGCATTGTTTCCAGTTTCTAGCTATTACAAATAAATCTGCTATGGACACCCCACAAGTCTTCATGTGAACATCTTTTGTTTTTCTCTTGGGTAAATACACAGGGGTGGAATCGGTGGATCTCATGGTAGATGTATGTTTAACAGTTTTTTTAAAAAAAGAAACTGTCAAAATGTTTTCCATAATGGTTCTATTATCTTACATTCCCACCGTCAGTGTATAAGTTCGTTTCTTCTGACTTAGTATGATCATTCTTTTAATATTAATCATTCTAATGATTCACATTATGGTTTGCATTTTTCTAGTGACTAATGATGTTGAGCATTTGTTCATATGCTTATTTGCTTTTCATATATCCTCTTTGGTGAAATGTCTGTTTAAACATTTGCCAATTTTTTTAGTTGTTCTTTTTGAATTTTGAGGTTCTTTTCATATTTTGGATATAAATCCTTCATCAGATACTTTATTTCCAAAACATTATCCCAGTCTGTTACATTCCTTTTTATTCTTTCTTAAATACAGAAGTTTTTAATTTGATGCTGTTCAATTTAGCAATTTGCTCTTTTATGGATTGTGCTTTTGTTGTCATAAGAAATATTTGCCTGCTCAAACCCAAGTGCGCTAAGTTTTGATCTTATGTGTTCTTCTAAAAGATGGAAGGTTTACATATAAAACTACTTTATTAGTAGTTTTAGGTTTTACATTCAAGTCTATGGTCCATTTTGAATCTTTCTGTATTAGGTGAGGTAAGGTTTATATTTTTGCAGGTGGATATCCAATTGTTCCAGCACTCACTGTTTCTTGAAGAATATCCCTTTTTCACTTAATTGCCTTTGCGCTTTTGTCAAAAATCATGTATCTATATATGTGTTGGGGGGGCAGTTGTCGGTTTCTGGACTCTCTATTTTGTTCCATTATTCTATTTGCCTATATTTATGCCAACACCACACAGCTATGCTCTTGAAGGTTTATAATAAACCTTAAGTGGTGTTAGTCCTCCACCTTTTTTCTTCTTTTTAAACATTTTTTGGTTATTTTGAAGTCCTTTGCATTTCCATGTGAATTTTAAAATTAGTCTATCAATTTCTACAAATATGCCTCCTTGGTTTTTTATTGGGATTGCCCTAAAACTATAGATCAATTTTCTGAAGAATTGACAACAATACTATGAATGGCACATGAATGTATTTTATATTTCCATTTACTTATTTTTCTCTAATTTATTTCATTAATGATCTGTAGTTTCCAGTTTACAGGTTTTTTACAACTTTTGTCACACTTATCACTAAGTGTTTTATATTTTTATGATATTGTAAGAGATATATTTCAATTTCTGAGTGTATATAGAGAAATACATTTTGCATATTGATGTAGTATCCTGCATCTTACTAAACTCATTTCCCAGTTCTAGTAGCTTTTCTATATAATCAATCTGAATTTCTACTTAGATGATAATATTGCCTGAAAAAAAGCTATTTATACTCCATCCTTTCCAATATAAATATACTTTTTATTCTTGCCTATCACATTAGCTAGAAGCTCCAGTACAATGTTGAACTGAAGTGGAAAGAGAGGCATCCTCATTTGCTCCTGATCTTAGGGGAAAAATATTCAATCGCCCACCATTAAGTATGATGTTAGCTGTGGGGGTTTTGTAACTGCCCTTTATGAAGTTAAGAGTGTTCCCTTCTATTCCTGTGGAGAGCTTTCAGCAGGAATGGGTACTGGCTTAAGTCCAATGCCTTTTCTGTGCCAATGGAGATGATCATATAGTGTTTTTGATTTGTTTTTGTTTTTGTTTTGCTTGTTTTTGCTGGTTAATTTGGTAAATTACATTGATTTACTTTCAAATGGTAAACCAATCTCACATTCATGGGATGTACACCAGTGGGGATAATGAAGAATTATCTTTTTTTTTTTAATTTTGTTAGATTCTATTTGCTAAAATTTGCTAGAGTTTTTGCATTTTATGTTCATGAAGCATCTTGGTCTATAGTTTTCTTCCCTTCTAATTCCCTTCTCTTTCTCATATCAGGTAATTCAGATCCCATAAATTGAGCCAAAAATATCCCCTCCTTTTCAATTTTCTGTAAGAGTGTGTACAGAATTGGCATTGTTTCTTCTTTGAATGTTTTGTAGAATGTACCAGTGAAGCCCTCTGGATCAATAGTTTTCTTTGTTGGAAGTTTTTAAATATAAACTTAATTTATTTGATAGATACACTGCTGTTCAGGTCACCTGTTTCTTCTTGAGTGAGCTTTGGTAGTATGTGCCTTTTAAATAATCTGTCCATTTCACGTAAGTAAATTTCATGTAAAATGTATTGGCATAAAGTTGTTCAAAAAATTTCCTTATTATCCTCATAATATCTGTGAAATTTGTAAAATGCCTCTCTCTCATTTCTGACATTGATATTGTGTGTCTTCTCCCTCTTTGCTGATTAAGTCTGGTTATAAAGTTTTATCTTTTTTTTTTTTTTTTTTTTTTTTTGAGACAGGGTTTTGCTCTGTTGCCCAGGCTGGAGTCATGGCTCACTGAAACTGCGACTTCCCAGGCTCAAAATACCCTCCCAGCTCAGCCTCCCAAGTAGCTGGGACTACAGGAACATGCCATCATGCCCAGCTATATTTTCAGTTTTTTGTAGATATGGGGTCTCACTGTGTTGCTGTTCTCAAACTCCTGGTGACCCTCCTGCCTTGGCCTCCCAAAGTGCTGGGATTATAGGCATGAACGCGCCCAGATGAGGTTCATCAGTTTTATTGATCCTATCAAAGAACTAACTTTTAGATTCATTGATTTTTTATATTGTTTTTACTATTTTCTATTACATCAATTTCTAATCTGATCTTTATTACTTCCTTTCTTTTACTTACTATGGGTTTAATTTACTCTCATTTTTTTCTAGTTTCTTGAGATGGGAAAATAATCCTTTTAAACTTGTGAATCATATAATATCGCACCCCACTATAAAATCCTCGCAGTGTTTGCTATTGCATTGGGATAATATCCAAGCTTCTACCTAGCCTCACGAGAGCTGATGTCTACCCAACTCCTTACCTTGTGTCCCACCGCATTCCCACTCACTCACTGTGCTCTAGCCCTGCTGGCCCTCATGTACACGAAGCTTGTTCCTACCTTAGGGCCCTTGGACTTGCTCTTTCTTCCCAGATCATTTCATGGCCACCCCCTTTTAATAAGTACAATCTCAGATCAAATAAAAGTCCTTCCCAGACTCTCCAGTCTAAATTAGTCCATCCTCTTACCCCACTCAATCATTAACAGTAAGCTGTTTCATTCATTCAAAACATTTGTTACCATCTGCATTCACTTACTTGTATTTTATTTTTATTGTTTGTCTATCTCTTCAGCTTCTGTGAGCTTAATAAAAACTAACACTTTTGTCTGTTCACTATTGTGTCCCTGACATCATGCTTGTTGGGAAGCAGATAGTTAAGTGCTCACTAAACACTTGATGAATGAATGAATGTCCAGGCACTATGAAATTTATCTCTCTGATGTCCCCACCATGAAGTTTTGTTGTCCACATAGCATTTCAGTGACATATTCAAACCACAACTTAATTTGTTTTTCTATTCCCTGGCTTCATTTTACAAGTCTTCCAGAGGTAAAAAGGCCTTCAATCTGGGGATTCATGCTCACTTTTTGGCTGGCTCCATGGTGGGACTTTATCTGTCTCTGCTGCTGAAGAAAGGCCAAGATCTGAGTGAATCTGAGCAAGGCGGGCACAGACTTTTCCCCTCTAAGAAAGGTGCTGATGTCTTAAGAAATTGCTAGTCCATGAAGCTGACTTAAGTTGTAATTCCAAGCTTAAATTTCATTAGGGAGTTTCTTGGAATTTCTCAGTCCCGAAAAAAAGAATTCTTCCTCACGTAAAGCTGTGTACATCTGTTTCTCTAGCTGAACCATCGTGTCTTAAATGATGTATTCTCCCGAGGGTGGTGATGCTAATGTCTTCACAATTTTCAATCACACTAACATTTACTGAGAATTTACCATAATTCTATGCCAGGCACAGAAACATGTATTTTGATCTGAATTTGCTAATTTGATGGCAATAATCCTGTGAGGTGTATAGTATTCTTGTTGCTATTTTACATTAAGGAAACTGAGGCATAGAGAGGCTTAATAACTCATCCAAAATTCAGTATTAACTTTCATAGAATTAAATAACTCAGCTAACTCAACCCCATTATCTGATTCTAGGGCGCTCACCTAACAATTACTTTCTACTTCATCCTTTCCCAGAGTGGAAATCATGTTGGGAAACAGAACCCTGATTGCTCATTGCTATTTTTCTGTCTTGTCTCTTATAAAGTAGGAATTTCATAACTACTTATTGAATTGAATTGTCTGTTACACAAAATCATATACTCATTAATTTTGCTCTAATTTGTCTTCCAGGTAAGGGCCATGGGGCACTAAACCTTGAATATCCATATTCAAAGTTTAGTTTATGTTTAATGTTGTGTCCTCAAACAATATGAAGGCAAAAGTAGTAACATTTTCAATAAAATTGATTGTTATAGTAATTATATGTCATCAGACTCAGAATCAATTTTTAAAATTATTTTTATAAATAAAAGGAAAAAAATTTTAATGTCTATGTGTCCCCACTCTCCAGGTTTAGGATAACAGCTTGTTGACTACCAGTCCTCATTTATTCCTTTGTTAAGTTATAAGACATTTCAAAGATGCAGATAATTACAAAAAATAATAGACATCCATATAACTACTACTCAATATTGTAGATTTTAGCATTTTGTAATATTTGACTCAACCTTCTTTTCTCCCTTCGTGCACTGTCTTTGAAACAAAAAGAATTTGATATAGCTAGCACCTCACTTCCCACACCTTTTATCTCCCTCCTTCATCACATAATACCACACATCCAAGGTAGGAGATCAGTCTAATAGAGATTTTTAAAATTACACTGTATAACCAATAAATTATACCATTTTGCATTTGGAGATTTTACATAAATGGTGTCACATTATACATATCCTTTTGCATCTTTATTTGCTCCAGAATGTTTTTCAATTTATCCATAAATTACACTTGAATACATTTTAATTAAATATAACACAACACATTTTTCAAAAGGAAAGACTGGGCTGGGTGCAGTGGCTCACACCTGCAATCACAGCACTTTGGGAGGCTGAGGTGGGCAGATCACTTCGGGCCAGAAGTTCGAGACCAGCCTGGCCACCACTGTGAAATCCCATCTCTACCAAAAATACAAAAATTAGCCAGGGCTGGGTGCGGTGGCCCATGCCTGTAATCCCAGCACTTTGGGAAGCTGGGGTGGGTGATCACTTGAGGTGAGGAGTTCGAGACTAGCCTGACCTACATGGTGAAAACCCATCTCTACTAAAACAATACAAAATTATCTGGGTATGGTGCCACCCGCCTGTAATCCCAGCTACTTGGGAGGCTGAGGCAGGAGAATCACTTGAACCCTGGAGGTGGAGGTTGCAGTAAGCCGAGATTGTGTCATTGCACTCCAGCCTGGGCAACAAGAGCAAAACTCCATCACAAAATAAATAAATAAATAAATAAATAAATAAATAAATAAATAAATAAAATAAAAATAAAAATTAGCCAGGTGTGGTAGCGCCCCCTGTAATCACAGCTACTCCAGAGGCTGAGGCACAAGAATCACTTGAACCTAGGAGGTGGAGGTGGCAGTGAGCAGAGATCGCACCACTGCACTCCAGCCTGGGCTACAGAGTGAAACTCCATCTCAAGAAAAAAGGAAAGACTGCAGCTTTATTCAGAAGCATCAAAAATATGTTCCAAAGGCTTTCCACTTCCTCTCAGTGTCTTAACGTACTTACATCTTATATACAACTATCTCTTGTCACGCATTTTGTCAGTAATGCCTTTCAGTATCACAATATACAGTTTAATTTGGGTTTTGTTTTTAGCAAAGTTATATGTGAAGATTGTACAAAGAGTCAAACCATTCCATAAGGCTTGTTACAACAGCAGTTTCCCACTCTGGACCCAAATTCTGCACCCTAGAAATAACCACTTTTAATTGTGGGGGATGATTTTTTTTTCTGTCTCCTATATCTGACTAACATATTTATATTGCTACTGTTTGTTTTCTGTTTAGGAATTATCTATTTACTTGCTACTATAGAAGAAAATGATTCAGCCCTCTTTCCCCTTCCTGCCACTCCTACTACACACACATTCATATACACACAAACAAACACACAGACTTCCCATCTATGTCTTCCTCCCAGTTCTATGAAATATCAAATGTGGTGAGATCATTACTGAATGCTCACATTGTTATGACTCTATAAATGTCCTTCATAGCCAATCCATGCAGTACATTATGAGTAATTGTCCTTTTCTGAAGAGCATTTTGTTTTCTGATTGTTAGCAGCTGTTGTTTTTGTGTTCATTTCTGTTTTAGGTAATTAGTTGTGTATGTACTTACTCCAGACGCTTTCCTCTCAATACATTTATTCATACCTAGTAGGTATGCTATCAAGTTCATCTACATGAAGTCACTCCCAAAGATACTGGCTTTGCTTCAGTCAGGATCAGGAGCTCCTGAAGCTTGACACTTCCTGCCTGTTAACCTGAGTTTTCTTGTCACCTCACTCTTGATTCAGCTCATCCGGATCCCACTTTCTTGACCCCCTCCTCCCTCTTATTTGGTGATGCACATCCTTTATTACATTTCAGAGAAGGCGTGTAAAGTAGGTAAAATTTTTGAGAGCTAAACTATCAGAAATGTCTTCGGTCTATCATCACAATCAGTGACAATTTTATTGGGCTCGGAATTCTATGTTGGGAAATTCATTTTTCTTGAGAATTTTGAGGACACTGCTCAGCTTTTTTTTAGCTCGAAGAAATATAAAGTCATTCTGCTTCTTAATCCTTTGAATAGAAATATATTTCCCCTTGAAGCTTGCCCAGTATTCTAAAATTTCATGATCAAATGCCTTCATTAGTGGATCTAATTCATCACTATGTTGGGCCCTTACTGGGCCTTTATAATTTGGAAACATTGTCCTTCAATTCTGGGAAGTTTTCTTGGATTTTTCTTTAATGACCCCCTTCTATGGATCTTCTCTTTTTCTATTGAATATCTTGGATGAACACTCTCATTTTCTAACTATTTTTTTTTTACTTTTGAATATTTAGCCATTTGTTCAATGTTCTAGAAGATTTTCTCAATTCCATATCTTAATTGAGTTTTTCACTCTGCTATAATATTTTTCATTTCATTTCCAAGAGCTGGTTTTGTGCTCTGCCAGTTTTTCTTTCTCTCTTACCAGTATCCTCTTCTTGTTCCATTCATATACTATTTTCTCTTATCTGTCTGAAGTTATTTATGGTAGATGATTGCTTTAAAAAGTTTCCTCTCCATGCATACTTTGTCTCCTCCAAGTAGCAATTTTCTGTCTCTGTGTGTGTGTATGTGTGTGTGTTTCTCTTTTACATTATTTGCTTCACCAAAATACTTTGTGAACCCTGAAAGATGCTTACGTTTGCATCACTAAAAGTGCTGATTTGAAGCCCTGTTCACATAGATGGGGCTTGTTAACTATGGTCCTTGCAACAGACTGATCTACCTAGTGTGTTTCCTTGTGGACTCTCAATGTCAAAACCTTTAGAGTTTGTCCACTCTTTCAGTGGGTCAATTTTCCCAGAAAAGATGCTTCCAGTCTCTTACCAAGAGGGAATGTGTCTGGCTTCCAGTGTAACAGGAGCCGAATGGGAAATAAGAACTAGGAAATTTCTAAATTCACTTATGAACTTCCATTTCATTCTAACTTTTTAGGTTGAAAGACTCTGCCTTTAATTCTGCCTGTTTTTTTTTTCCAACTCCAGAGACCCTTTATTTTAAACTTACAGTAATAAATATCCAGTCTTGCCAGAATGGAGAAGAAACTACTGTGGTAGTTTATAGGAGTCAATTTGTCCTCCAGCTCACAAGAGCAGGTTGTTAAATTTTTGGAAGTTGTCATGCTGATTGTTAAACACTGTCATTATTTAAAAGTAAATTATACAAATATGCAGTTAAATAAATTTATATTAAAACAAAGGTAATAAACACAAAGAAATTCATCACTTACTAGTTATTATACTATGTTTTATGCTTTTGAGGTCACTTGCATATTGTATTTCTACTACACGAGGTGTGCTACTCACATCTCTTCCCAACTCTGCATTCAGTGATGTCATGCAGTAGCTTGACATTGGCCATGATGGTGGTATTTACTCCACAGAAATTGGCAAATACCACAAATCACAACTATTTTGAGACCTAGTTGTTAAGTATTTGCCAGCACGCCACTGGGCAGATGCCCAGTTTCTCAAAGCCAGGGAGGGGATCTGAGGTCTTACTAATTCTTAAACACATTTTAATCAATTCATCTATTTTTAGCCTCAATTTTACCCCAGGCCCAGGGGTAACTGGTGACTCCAGTCCTTATGTTTTCTGAAGTTGAACAACAAAAATCCAATCGCTTCTCAGCATTTTAGTTTTATTTGGTCTGATAATCAGAAGTTTCTCTCTCTTCCATCCTTTTCAGCTTCCAACATGTTCTCACTATGATCTCCAACTCTGTTTGGTTTTTATCCTTATAGAATTGAGCATTTTTATAAAAAATACTCATTATTTCATGGATGTTTGGGGAAGGAGTGGAAATATGTGCATCTGTTTAATCTTCCATTGCTAACTAGAAATCATGTCATATACTAAAATGATAGGATTTTAGCTTCTCAAAGGAGAATACAAAGTTCTCAAAACATGAGACAAGTAATCTGGAGTCTGATTTTGGCACCTGTATTAGTGTCTTCTTGGGCTGCCATAACAAATGCCACACACCGACTGGCTTAAACAACAGAGATGTATTTCTCACAGTTCTGGACATTGGGAAGTCCAAGATCAAGGTGCCAGCCAATTGGGTTTCTGGTGAAGCCTCTCTCCTGGGCTTGTAGATGGGCATCTTCCTGTTGTGTCCGTACATGGTAAGGAAAGAGAAAGAGCAAGAGACCTCTCTGGTGTCTTTCTATGATAAGGACACTAATTCTATCATATCAGGGCCTCACCTTTATGATGTCATTTAACCTTAATAATCTCCTTATAGGTCCTATCTCCAAATAAAGTCATAGGAGAGGTTCGAGGATTAAGGCTACAACCTATGAATTCTCGTGTGGGGTAGAAACACAAATATTCAGTAACAGGAAAAAAAATTTCCAACTTTCCTTAGTGCCTAGCGAGAGGGATGAGAACCAAGCCAGAAGAGACTCCCTTGGTGAAAACTTCTTCATCCTCATGTTGGTTCAAAACCACTTTGCATTCGTGACAAGAGGCATAGAAAGAAGAGTAAATAGACTCAGAATCACCCTTTTTTCACAGCCCAGGAATCTGTTTAAGCAATGCCTCAGCATTGGGCTAATCTCCCCAGAGTATAGTTCTTCTTGCTTGCAAGATTCATAAGTCTTTAGAATTGTTAGTTATTTTCTCCATCTTCCTTTAAGAGTCTACATTCCTGTCTTGCCTTTCAAAATACAGGTAACAACTCTATCACCACTTCCTCCATCAGTTACTTGGGTCCTAATACCAAAGGTTTGAAAGGCTTCTTACCTGTAAGTCTTTAGTGAAGCCTGGTTATTTTAAGGAACATATTTATTTGATAAGATAGATATATTAAAAATAAGGGCTATGGGCTATGCTTATTGGCAGTCACAGCTGTAACAGTTGCAGCAATTTTGATATTCTATCAACCAAGGAGATATTTGTACTTCATTGTGTTACATATTGGAGACATTGTAGAATTTGGACTGAAAAATGCAGGCAATTCGGCAGTGAATGAATCAGGAAATGGATATCTCATGGAACATACTTTTGAGTGGCTGAGTGTGGTTTCTTAAGTCATTGCCACATTCTAAACATTAGACATTTTAAATTTTCAAGAATACTCCCTTATAAATTTCAAAAGTCTACAGCATCCATTTCAAGATTACAGTTGACATTTCCTATTTTCACCTTCCTAAGGCCTCCCTATTTTCTTATCCAATAGAATATGTTAAGTAATTTAAAACATACACACAAAACTAGACCAGGTATGATGGCTCATTTCTGTAATCACAGCACTTTGGGAGGCCGAGGCAGGAGGACTACTTAATGCCAGGGGTTCAGGACCAACCTGGGCAACACAGTGAGATCCAGTCTCTACAAAAATAATAAAAATTAGCCAGGTGTGGTAGTGCATACCTAGAATCCCAGATACTCGGGAGGCTGAGACAGGAGGATGGCTTGACCCCAGGAGTTTGAGGCTGCTGAGCTATGATTGTGCCACTGCACGCCAGCCTAAGTGACAGAACAAGATCTTGTCTCAAAAAAATAAAAATAAAAATAAACACAAACTGAAGGCACGAAGTTTTCTTATTAAACGGGCTCATGATGAGCCAAACACAATGACTAAAATTATACTCACAGCAAAGTGTATGATCAAAAAATCTTATTACGCAGAGACAAAGAGGACATCCTACACATTTCCAGGGAGAAGAACATATTCTAATGATGGTCTCTTTATTAGCAATATCTAGCAGAGTACCTGGCTCAGGGTGGGCACAAGAATGTTTTCCTCATTAACTTTATTCCACAGAGTCCTGGGTTAAAAAAAATACCTCAATATAGGTCATCTATCTCTACTACATTACTAAACCATTTCCCTCAGGTCAAGTATTTCAAGTTAGGAACACATTTTCCCAGAGGATAAGGAACATAAATCCTAGTTAGATTCCCAAGAGAGCCCACAAACACCTCTTTAAACTAGAGAAAATCATCCATTGTTGCAATGCTAGTTATTAAAATGAAAAGCACGTGAGTGAGTGAGTGTGTGTGTGTGTGTGTGTGTGTGTGTCTTGAATGCTGGTATCTAAGGAAAAAACAATTTAATACAACCACCTACAGCCATGTCAAATTATAAAATGGGTGCTTTGTCTTACTGTATAAAGTGTAAAAATAACTTCTTCAATTCTTCCCCCATCTCTGCCCCTCACTCCAGGGTGTTCTTCCTTAGGAATGAGGATTCATGTTGGTATGAGGCTACTATACAAAGCGAGCCTCAGAGAAGGGCTCCTTTAGATTAAAGTCCCCAGAAACAGATCCTGAGACAAGGGTTCACATGCAAGAATTTATTAAGGGAGTGTTCCCCAGAAAAAGAAGCCAAGCAAAGTGCAACTTCAGGCAATGTTCTATAGACTGTGTTTCACAGAGTGCAGCAAGGAACGCTGGAGGAAAAATTACAACTCTCTGAGGCAAGGGAGCTAGGCTTTTGTGCTCTCATATGTGAGAAACTGCAAGGTTTGCTCTGGGGTGGGTGGAATCTCCTAAATGCTTCCAGTTTTTCTTGATGTCTGAAAAACCATCAGTTACCCAGGGAAAGTTCGCTAAAGAAGAGTGGCCAATGCAGGCTATTGGAAGCAAAAGTGGATTTAAAGTGGGGAATGGCATGTGGGGATTTTAAAAGGAAACCAAGAGGATGTGCGTGACATACAGGTGTCCTTTAAAACTTGTAAAGAGTCCTTCATGGACAGCTTGACAATTTCAAAAAGTTGAGAGTTTAAGGGTCTGTTGGTTAATTTGTTCCCCTGTTAGACCATGTCAAAAGTTATGTACTTTGTTTAAGCATATATTTATACCTTCTTTTACCAAAGCATCATTGCTTCTGAAAAAAGGCTAACACAGGCCCACATTTTCTCTCTTTCATCCTTCCGCCATATTCAGTGACCTGTCCTTAAGAGGAATATCTCTACCAATTCACTTTGCTCCATTGCAGTCCACCTTGCTCCACCTGCATTAGTCTTGGCCTGTTCTGTTACTCACAACCCAATCCACACTCTCTCCAATTCAGGACCTCTGGGACACGGGAAAGGTGAAGGAATAGGTAAATAACAAGACTCTCATATAGTTCCCAATTTAATCCTCACAACTATGCTTTGATAGCAGTACTATACATATTTGATAGATGTGAAGATGAGACTGAGGCACAGAGAAGTACCTTGTCCAGGAACTTACAACTAGAAAGTGGTAAAGCCTGAATTCAAACGCAGCTGCATGTCAAGGGCCATGCTCATAAACACTATGCATACTATCTCTCCTAACAATCTCTCAGACATGTATTATTAGTGATATTTTAGGGAAAAAAAGAAACTAATAAAAGAGAAATTAATGATAATCCATTCATGCTCACATAGGAGCTAAGGGGCATAGTGAGAACTTCAACACAAGTCAGAGGACCCAAAAACCCATGATCTTTCCGTGATACTTCCCACGAAAAGAAGGCTAGTTTTTTTCCAGTTAACTGGGGGTGGAGGAGATCCAGAAAAGCTAGCCCAAGACCTATCATTTCTCAAGAATCATGCCAGGATCCAAAAAAGAGTTAAAGCATTGAAAGTTGAGAGATAAAAATCTCTCGGGAAGAAGAAAATGGCCTCTGTCCATTCCTGCCTGCGGGCCATCCAGAAGGTTGAGTGTAAAATTCAACTGAAGTTCTATGTCTATCAGGAGGGTAATCTGCATTAAAAATTCCTGGGAGATGAGCTGCTCTGAAGGAGGGCGGGCACTGCAATCCTTGTTGGAAGTGCTTTTGGAACTTTGGACAAAGAGAAAAACCCTACGGAAAGGAGATAAGAAGATGGGAGTAACAGCAAGTGGGGCTGCTAATCAGTCTGTTAGATGGCCACAAATGCTCTAATACCAGCACTAAGATGCAAAAAAAAGGCAGAGTGTGGTGACTGACACCTATAATCCCAAGCACTTCGGGAAGCCAAGGTGGGTGAATTGCTTGAGCCCAGGAGTTTCAGACCAACCTTGGCAACATGGCAAAACCCCGTCTCTACTACAAAGACAAACATTAGCCAGGTGTGGTGGCAGGCACCTGTAATCCCAGCTACTGGGGAGGCTGAGACAGGAGAATAACTTGAACCCAGGGGGCGGAAGTTGCAGTGAGCTGAGATCATGCTACTGCATCATTCCAGCCCCAGCTGACAACAGTAAGACTCTGTCAATAAAAATAAAAAATAAAAAACCTCAGGTTGCAGCCTGCATGTTTTCCTCCTATATGGACCCCTACCCCAGGAAAGTCATCACTGAGATGGCCAACCAGCATTATATGCACCCATGGCAGGATCTGAGTCAACCAGAAAAGATACCAGGGAACAGACTGCTAGGCTGAGACCTAACATTTGGGGAAGACCCCACTGTAGGTACCAGAGGGACAGTTATGGAACCTGGGGTAGAGGGAACTAGATTTCCAAACTGGCTAATGCACTATTGACATTTTAGGACAGATAATTCTTTGTTATGAAAACTGTCCTGTGCATTGTAGGATACATAGCAGCATCCCTGGCATCTACCCTCTTCTCAGTTGTGACAAGCAACATACCTCCAGAACATTGCAAATGCCCTTGGGAAGCAGTCTTTCCCAGTTGAAAGTCACTGGGCTAGCGGAATGATGAGGAGGCCTAGCAACTGCTGAGGCAGGGTTCTAAGAGCTTTACACATATAATCTTGTGTAATTCTCCTAACAGAAATCTGGGACACTATTATTATCTCTGTTTTATAGATGGAGGACCTAAGGCACAGAGTTGTTAAACAACTTACCTAAAGTAACACAGCATTAAATTGGCAGGCCTGAGAGTCCAACTGGGAGGTGTACTTCCAGAGACCATGCTCTTACCCGGTATACTATGCTGCCTCCCATTTTATAGATGAGAAATCCAAGGTGTAGAGAGGTAAAGGGCACAAGTACTGTCAAAACTCGAATTTGAATTCAGGTTTCTCTGACTCCAGAGCCCATACAAGAAAACACCATGGTCTACTAACTATCCAGTTTTTGCAACCATGAGGCTAGTAGGAGTGCCAACTGGGCTACTGACCTAAAAATTATTAAGTGTCTAAACACAGGCTCAGTCTTTAGTTCATGGACAAATGCAACATAAGGGTTAATTTCTACCTTCAATGGCCAGACAAATGTGGGATAAGGAACCAAGAGCTCATTACACAGAGTCCTGGATCGGTTTCAAAGCCCTATCTTTCCTTCTTTCACCTCCCTCCTCTTTCCCTTTCCTTCCAATTCTATCCCTCTTGAGCTGCTGTGCCTTCATTTTATCTACCATTTAAAAAAAGAAACACTACTAAATTTATTAAATAAAAAGAATTGCATATTTCTAATTCTTATGTAATAATATCACACACACACAACTTTGATGGGAGCATATAACACATAAATTCAAGCACAAACAAAACACAAAAGCTCATAATTAAAAATGTTACATTTCTATCTCTGAAACAAGAGGTAAAAACAATACATCTAAAGTTTTCCAGATCCTTTTAGCCTGCCAAAAGTCCTCAATTTATTTTTCCTGAATCATATGACTTCAATAAAATGAAGAATACTATTTCTACCTTAAATGTGAATTTCACTAGGAGTCTTCAAACCCTTGATTTACAAAAATTTATTCTTACAAATCTCATTGGGAAGGTGTGTAAATCTGTAAAGTCCTCAAGCAGACAGCAAACTAATTTGCTTTGACTCAGAATGCAGTTCCCCAGTACTGAGTATCACACTGCGCCAATACTTGAGTTTGTCTAAAAGCAGCAAAGCTGGGCACGCGGTCTGGCTGCTATCAAAGAATTCCCTTGAAATAGTGCTGAAAATAACTGCAATTGCTGTTAACTATAAGGTTTTCCTAAGTGAATAAGGCAAAAATAAGATTGGGGCTATTAATTTTAAATGAAATTGCTTACTTTACTCTTCAAGGCAACTAAGGAAACAGGGAATTACAATACACTCTAGCTGTGCCCAAGTAAATAAAGTCCCCCGCTTGAACCTGAGTTAAGTGTGCATTACCAGCGTTTAGGTATTTGATTACAAAAACACGGAGAGCCAAACCGTTTGACCAAAACATTTTGGGAGCTCATATAGAAGAGAAAAACTAGAAGAAAACTGCCTTTACCTCTGCAACAACCATGATTTCTGAGGCCAATAATTTAGAAGCATCCCGAAACTAAAAGTCAGCATGGAAAATGAGAGAGTACAGAACTAGATATTAAGAGACCTGGATTCTGAATGTGCCTCTTAGCAGTGATGTTACTATAGATCATAAACCCTCCAGACGTCTTTGTCATTAATTGTATAATGAAGGGGGTACATTTTGCAACTTTTATAGCCTTTCTTATCTGTAATGTGTGATTTTAAGGATCAGTGCTCTGCAGGGAAAAGAGTAAGGAATGTGGATTCAGCCAGACCCGAGTTCAAATTCAGCTTTTATTTGTATACTACGCTGTGACTTTGATCAAGTTATTTAATTTCCCTAAGCTTCAAGTGACTCAAATGCTAATTGTGGACTAATATAGCTTCTGAAGATGAAAAACAGTCTGAAATATAAATGTTAGTTTTGCTTATAAACTGTAAGGTCTATAAACCCTTACACATAAAGCCAAAATCAAAACTCTAAACACCAAAGCTTTGTACGTTTGCAGAAAACTCACTTGGTCACAAAACCCAACCTAATTTGGCCACAAGGGTTTCGGCAGCTTTTGTGTTTCCTATTTCAGTAAATATCCATATGTTTTGCTGAAGAAATGTAGATACGTTTTTTTATGGAGCGCTGCCCTAGACCCCCAGTGGATGTTACAGAATCCATTCTACATGTATCTTTCATGATACCATTCAAAAACCTGAAAGAAAAAAAAAAATCTGGATTCTAAAGCACACTGGGATCCAAAGGTTTCAGGTAAGAATTATGCATTTATGTTACAGATTTTAATTGTTTAGCATGTATTTTAATTTTTAGAATTTCTTATATTCATAGCTCAAAACCAAACACGACCCATTCAATAAGTAATCCATACAGAATGAAAACACAGAAAATACTGATATATTCCATTTTGTTTCCTAATTATTAAGATTTAATACTCTGTCTCAATTGTTATGTTCATCTATCTTCACGTACAGACTGAGTGCAAAGAACTGTTAGAAGCTGAGTGCTACAAGAAGAATAAAAGGGAAATATATATACATATATATATTTATAAAAAACACTGCATAAGTGTTTTCTATGCCCTAGATACTATGCTAGTCTCTTTACATATGTATTTCTAATTTAAGGTTGTGACACAAGTTCTGTCCCCTAGTAGTTTAGAGCCTAGATCCGGATAGACAAACAGCACTCATTGTTCACTGCACATCTACTGTGCCAAGCACCATTCTGGGGTCTAAAGCCTGGGGCCTGGATCAACAAAGGTGAGCTTACATGGACAAACAACCACAAGGAAACAAATAAATATATACTTTCAGGTAATTAAGTGCTCTCAAGAAACCAAGGTAAGATAATGCAATAAAGAATGTATGGGATAAAAGTGACTTGTTCAGAGAAGGGAGGTAGTAGTACCTGAGTGCATGGCGTGTGTGTGTGTGTGTGTGTGTGTGTGTGTGTGTATATATATATATAAAATACATATATATGTATATGTATATATGTATATATACATATAAATATATATATAAAATACACACACACATGTATTTATATATAGTATACATATAAAATATATATATACACACATACATACATATATATAATGTACACCCTCACAAAATGTGAAAAAAAATTATGAAGTAATAATTAAAAAAACAAGAGTTGACATTAAAAACCAAAAGAATATTAGACCTAAAGAAATGCAAACCTATAGTATACCATAAAACAAAGCATTTCAGACTGGTATGGGCAGAAAAGTTCTCCTGGAAGTGAAAGGCAGATCAGCCTTGAAAAGGAGGGGAACAAGCCAAGTACTAGCAAAGTGCAAGGAGAGACAGCTCCTAACTAAAAATCTCTGCTCCATTATTTTGGGCACCAGGATAAACTGCTTCCAATAGTGTTTATGTACAGTCTGCCACATTCAGCTCTAAATTCCCATCCTATATTATTCCAGGGGTTCTCTACTTTTAAGGCACGTCAGAATCACCTAGATGGGTGGTTAAAATACAGATTGCTAGCCCTAGCCCAGAGTTTCTGATTCAAAGAGTTTGGAGAGATATCTCAGAATCTGCATTTCTAACAAGCTCCCAGGTGACGCTGAAGCTGTTTGTCCAGGGCTCACACTTTGAGAACCGCAGGGTCTCTATATCTTTTAGGTTTTGCTCACCATTCTGGATTCTGCAAACAAACAAAACACAAGGAAACAGTATCAACCTGCACAACGATTCGTAGTGTGTTTTGAAAATCCTGTTGCATCACATGCGTTTTTATAAAATCCTCTAAATCCTTTGTTTATGTGTATACATAGGTATATCTCTAATATTTTGAATTCCTAATTGCTTTATACCTAGTTATTTATCCAAGCTGGTTCCCATCCACAAACATTGCTCACTTTTGTTCACTATTACTTATTTAAATATAAAAATCTGTAACTGAATCTTAAATCTCCAACTTACTGTAAACACATGGAACAGTTTATTGTCTCTGAAATTCCTTTATCAGTCTCCAGTGAATCCTCAAAGTAAGACTATTCTTTATTCTCTCACACTGAAACTTCATTTCTGGTACCCGCACAATAAGAAAGCAAGCTAACAGTGCTACCTCATTTCACTGCTGAATAAGCAACAGATTTGGCAGCATCCCCAGTTGGCTCATAACCCAGAAGCCTTTGCACCAGGCAGGACTGATAGGCATCAGAGCAAAGGCTTCTGGGGAACACAGCCAGCCAGTTAGCAAGCCAGGATCCTTAGTGAGACAAAGTGGAGTTAGCTTCAGCCACCTAAATCAGTTATGTCCCACTGGGGTTGGGACCACCTACTTTAGAGACCATTTCGTCTTCTTCATCTGCTTTCAGCCTCAGTGGCACAAGAACCCATTAGAATTCTTCCTTTAAAATCATTTCTATTCAAAAGAGAGGTTTAATTGAAACCCTCCACTTTCTTCACGAAATCATCACTTCAGGCACATCTAAAGAACTGAAATTTCTCCCTTTCTCTCTAAGCCCGTAAAGTTATTTTGTATTACATTTTTCTCATGTATGCTTGTCCATTCCTTTATTTCATCAATCAAATCTCTTCTCTCCCTTTGCCTCTCTCATTTCACAAACAGCTCTCTGATCAATTCTATATTCACCTCAGGGATCAGTGCTTATCTTTAACCTGTTGACTCTGTTCTTTTAACACTTCATGGCAGAATTTGCACAGGGAGCCAAAAAGCCAAGTTGGAAGGTTATTTCAAGGATATATCTTAGTGCTGAAGAAAATAGAACTGTAAAGCTGTAGAAAAGCAGAAGCCATACAGTTTGCTTACCAGAGTACCTCAAGATTAATCATTCTTAGTATAGGCACAGGCAGCAACAGGTGATCTCAGGCAAATTACTTAACTTCTCTGAGCTTGCTTTACTTTTGCTGTCCCTAAAATGGAGCAATTATTCCCTATATTTCAGAACTTTTATGAAGATTAGAGGGAAAAGGTATATTAATCCTCAGTAGAATGCCTGCACACCGTAAGTATTCTATAAATGGCAACCTGCTACTACTGCTGTTGTTACTGCTAATCAGATCATTAATACACTAATATACCAGATCTAGGCACAAAACTAAATGCTTCAATTCTCCAAAAACAACAACAAAAACCAGGCCAATTGAGCTTTTCTCACAGTAATGAGATTTAGTGTCCAATATAACAACAAATGCCCTGGGTCCAAATACAACCTTAGCATTCTAAACTTCATTGAATAAGCCATAAATTGTGTCACATAGTCATTCAAGTAAATTGATATTTGTAAAATAAAATGCTTATTTATATGAAAGGTATAGAAAAGGAAAATTTATAAATACAGAAAGCAGATTAGTGGTTGCCAGGTCCTGGGAGTAGAGCAGGGACTGACTGCAATTGGGTTCCAGGAAATTTAGGGGGTAATTGAAATGTTCCAAAACTGGATTGTGGTGATGGTCGTACAAGTCTATAAATGTAGTGAAAAACCTTGTATTTTACATGTATAATAGGTAAGTTTTATGGTATATAAATTATACTTCCATAAAGCTGTTAAAAATAATCTTTCTTGTATTACATGACACATCTCAAAATAAACTAGTATTTTTATTTTTATTCTAAAGCATTCCATTATCAGCTCATCATTATGACTGTCAAGAATTTGTCCAAGACCATTAATGTATTCCTCTACAGGCAAGCAGGACTGTTATCATTGCTTTTATCCACAATCATATTGTTTTTGAAAAGACATCTTGAGATACAGTATCAAGGTCATTAACAGAAAGCATTTATAAGCTAAGATTATGTTCTACGTCTGATAGCTTCTTGGTCTGGACAGAAAACATTCAAGTTGGGAATGAATGGTTTTCAAATAGAAATCCATTACTAGTGAATGACTTCTATGCAAACATTTCAACAAACAGAGAAGCCACTTTTCTTTAAACACTTTTGATGGATTTAAATCAAATCATTAAAGCAGTGGGTCTTTAAAACCTTCAACCAGAGCAGCAATGCCATAGTCTACATATATAGTGGCTGCAAATGTTAAAATAAATGTTACGAACAATATTATTACAATTTCACATACATGTATCTGCACAGAATAACCACTAAATACTAACACTTCCTGTCTTTTAGAGCATAAACAGCTTTACCTTGGCATAATACAATTATTTTCATGATTTTTTTAACATGGTTTAAATACATAGTGCTCAGTATAAACTTCATCAATCCATTCTTAAATTTTTGGTAGGCCTGTAACTGCTCATTGAATAAAATAAATAACATTATTATGGAACTTCACACTTGCCTATGTTCAACCCTTCTTGCCCACAGTTATCCCACACAGAAATTGTGTAGGATCCTTTCTGTCACTCAATCTTCCTCTGAGTCATACTCAGTAAAGCCAAGCTGGGTTGTGTTGGGCTCTACTCCAGGACCTTGTCATTACTGAACTTCTTTCCATCTCATGTTCTTCCATTTGGTTTAGACATGTACACAGCACTTTATCAATGGAAAATGGTTTAACAAAACTAATAAAAATTATGATAGTAATGAGAACCTCAACAGCAACTGTTTATTGAGCCCCATACTATGTTTTGAGCACTGGGCTGGGGATTCTCAAGCATTATCTCCAATCAGGGAAATGTTATAATCCTCATTTATAGTGAGAACATGGAAGATTAGATTCAATATTACACACCTAGTTAGTGCTAAAGTAGCAATTAAATTAGAACCCATTCTCCTATCCATTGTATATGCCATGTTCTGAGCTTACCTACTGTAATTTCCATAAATGCATTGCTGAATCACAGGAGTCAGTGGCTTCTCAAGGTAATCTCATGAGTACATGAATGCCCACAGAGTGTGAAGAATGGGTTGAGCTAAGTGTGATGACCTACTGGGTTTACAGTGGTATCATTTAAGAACTATTGGATTTAGGTTATATTACCTTAACTCTTTGATAATTAATTTTCTCATCTGTACAACAGTGATGATCTGTCCTCCATTATTTGCTCAGGTATTGTGAGGCATAAATGAAATCATACACATATTTATTTTTCTAGCCAATGAATATGTTGCAAAATCTATAGTTGCATTGGTAAATAGGTCACCTAGAAAAATAACTTCAGATACTCACATAAGCATATGACTAGATGAGGTGAAAAGTTTTTTATAGGATTAGGTGTTCTCAGTTTCCATCCTGAAGAGCTAAGAGACAATATACAAGCAAATTCCACCTTCACATTTTTCCTGTGTTTATTTTGATTAATGTTGAGGCAAGCACCTAGTTAAAAAGTATTTCCTTATGTGATTAATGGTCTCTACCAACTCATAATTTTAAGATCTTCAAGAATTTTTGGAGAGTAAAAATTATATCTAAATTTGAAAGGATTTTCTTAGTACGTGTTCTGGCTGTGTCTGCAAAATAAAATTAGTAAGAATTTGAAAAGATTATCTTCTATTTCCACTAATCCCATGCTTGTATTTATTAGCAATCAGTCTATCTTATTTTTAAGATTAACCAATTTATGAGATTTTATGTTGCAGAGTTTGGGATTACACATTTATTAGAGTTGGAGAACAACTGTGCTTCCTTGGAAAGGCATTACAAATCACAGATTATTCAAACTAGAAAGAACTTTTCATGACTGTAATCCCAATCTGAAAAATGGAAATGCCTTCAGAGGGCAGGCCAATAACATAAACAAGGGGTATGGGCTAGTTGAAGAGAGTATGGAGTGATAGGGATTATCATGACCATTTGGAGCACAGGCAATCCACAAAGGCATGCCAAAGCATCCAAATGCAATACCAAACATGCTTGGAAATTCCACTGAGCTCAGTGACATAGGTTTCCAATGTTTAAACTGTAAATTAAAAACTGAAGTATCTAAGGGCCAGAAACATGAAGAGGTTTTATCTTGTCCTTCATTTGACAAAAAAAAAAAAAAAAAATCATATTAAATATCTACTGTGTGCCATCCATTTCTGGGCTCCAAGGATGTAACATGGAGCAACAGAGAAATTGACTTTGTTTTCATGTAACTTACTATTTTCTGGGGGAAGTAGTTGTTAACCAATAACAGTCAAAACATAGAAATTCAAACTCTGATGGATATGGAAAAAATGTACACGGCACCACAAACCCAAACACTGAGAAATGGAAGCCCAATCCCAACCTAGGAATGCTGGGTCCAATCCATGTTGGAAGAAACAAAGGAGTGTCTTTTTTAGCATATAACCTACAACCACTGATTTTCAGATATTAAATGCTATGTGAGCGAGAAGAAGACACATATACTATAGTCTTACCCTATATTAGTTCCTTAACAAATATTTGGTAAATGATTGAACCAAAAAAAAAAAAAAAACTGAAAACCAATCCATAGAAATTTTTATTAACTGCCAGAATAAAGAATCAGAAAGCATTGATAAACTTTCCAAAAATTTCTATTAAAGACATTAATATTTAAGGGAAAAGAGGGAAATCAGTGAGGAAGTAAACCATTGGAAAATTGAGGTAATGTTTCTTCAAAATGGAAATTTGATTCAAGAGGAACAAGCCGAAGCTACTTAAAAATTTTAAACTAAAAACAAACAAAATACTCAAGTACAAGATGAGGAAAACTTTCTATGTATGAATCAGCTAGAAATGCTTTAGGTATATGTAGTTGTGTTTAATAAAAATTTGAATATAGAGGTTGGATACAGTGGCTCACCCCTGTAATCCTAGCACTTTTGGAGGCCAAGGCTGGTGGATCGTTTGAGCTCAGGGGTTCAAGACCAGCCTAAGTAACACAGTAAGACCTTGTCTCTACAAAAACTACAAAAATTAGCCAGATGTAGTGCCATGCACCTGTAATTCCAGCTACTTGGGAGGCTGAGGCAGGAGGACCGCTTGATCCCGGGAGGCGGAGGTTGCAGTGAACCAAGATCGCACCACTGCACACTATCCTGGTCACTAGAGTGAGACCATGTCTCAAAACAAAACAAAACAGCAAACCAAAATTGAATATAGTAGCAATACAGTATTATTGAAAGAACTATCATTATACTAAGGCACGCTAGTCTCTAAAAGAGAATGCACCCATGACCATCATGAGTATGGGTATACAGTATATTAAAAATTACCAAAGAGCTCTCTATATAAAAGAAACAAAACTGCACAAGAGACTTCTGCTAAAAATGAGTTGATGAAACAAATAGCTAAACAACAGAGCATATAGAGAGTGAGCATGAGCTCTGGGCTTACATAACCCTGCATTGCAGCACTTCAGGCCATTGTTTTGTTTTGGGCAAGTTGTCTAATTCCTCTGTGCCTCATTTTCTCCATATGAAAAACTGGGATGATAACAGTAGCTACTTTATCAGATTGCTGTGAGAATTAAATGAGATCACATATATGGTATACAGTTGGACAAATATTTTTAGTAATTATCATCATTATCATCATCATCATCATCATCATCATCATCAATAATTGACCATTAAAGACAAGGCTAAAAAGTAACAATTACTACTTTCACTTTATCAAAGATTTCTTTGGAGAGGAAATTGTTTCTAGGTCCAGAAAAAAAATGAAGAAAAAAAAGTGAGCCTAATTTGAGCAAGAGAAGTTGTTAATATTATATTCTTCCTTTCATGATGATAAAGCAATGGATTGATCTACAAAAAGAAGTGTTGAAATCTATTAACAGGAGTCAAGAAAGAGAGGGAAAAGCTGTCAGAGACGATTTAAAAACTCACTAGCAAGGGTTTTCTGAGATATTCTTTAATAACCTCTAAGACCATCTTGCAGAGAATCTCACTCTTGCCAAGAAAAATAAATGTATACTTGAGCCATTTTCCATCCATCACCCTGACAGTAACCCTTAGGAATCCAGAAGATGGAGCACTGCTCTATTACGATAGATGACTTACATAGCACAGGACTTCAGTGACTGCACCAAAAGATAAGACGAACCTCAGATGAGAAAGGGTCACTCGAGAAGAGTATCCTCCTCTTTGATGATCAGTGTTTTTGCTTTTACACTTCAGGATAAAGGAGCTAGTAATCTGTTTGTTCAACTTGATACACCTGTCTGCACACCAAATTTGGTATATTCACCAAAATATTTCAATATTGGTTCTTCTGTTCTCCATTTTCTAAGGGGGTGAGTTGCTTAAACTATCGTGGTTATATAATGAATAGAATATGAATTTTAATGGATACTCTTCAAATATCAGAATTTTTGGAAAAAAGTTATTATAATTATTTAAAAACATGTAAGCAAACACCCAAACACACATATCCATAATGCTTCTAAGTGCCTAAATTCTCTATTTCTGGAAGTTCTTTCTCTAATTATTGTTATTGGAAAGGACATGGGCTACACCCTTTTAGCTGTTATCTATCAGAAAGAAAACACTTTTATTAAGCTGAGCATTTCCCACCAAAAGCCAAAAGGAAGGGAAAATAAATATGTTAATGCCTTCAGCAAACCAACGGAAAGGCAAAGCCTAGATAAATTCATGAAGTATGTAAAAGGTGTCAAGAAGTTAAAAAAGATAACTCATTCACAGTGAGCTTATTTTATTTATTTGCCATTGCTTTCCATGAGGACAGTTTCAAAGTAACATCTACTTATTTGTATGCCATTCAGTGCTACATAAACAGGGAATCACTTAGTTCTCGCTTAGTTCCTTTTTTTCCAACAAGAGAATATAGGTTTCCATACTAAGTAATGGTAAAACATCTGGAAAGCAGAATCAGGCAAGTCACAATTTTTCATGTCATATTTTCCTTTGATGAAGAACAAAGAATCGAAGTAAAATTTTGAAGAAGAGAAAAATGACTTTTTCCTGACCAAGGATAAAATTCTTTTTAAAAGTTATAGCATTCTTTCTTTCACATTATTTCTAAAGCTTTTCAGATCTATAACAAGAAACACTGCTCATACAAGTGTATGATGGAGTTCACATTACATTTTTATAAAGCTAGGTATTAAATGAATAACTACAAACTTCGAGCAATTCTTTCATTTTGCACTGTACCATACACTACGGGGTAAAAAGATTTTCCTCTAACATTCAGAACTGAAAAAAAAGTTACATTAAGTAAAATCCATTTGCTCAGAGAGGAACTCACTGAATCGATCTCCCAGCCAAAAAAAAAACACTACTCTTACTTTTCTAAGTGTCTTTGGGCGTACTTTTCTAAGCTTTGGTACCCTCCAAAAGTTCAAAAATAAAAGAGTAGCAATTACCGAGAATGAAGACTATGATTCACATGAAGTTCTGTACTCAACAGTGCATGCAGTGTACACTCTAGGGTTCATTCCAGTGCATATTTTCTTATTTCTCTCTTCCCACTGACATAATGAGTTGTCAACACAGGCTTAGCAAAATGGTACCTGTCACTTTCAGATGTTTAATATTTCTCTGTGAAGGATATGGTGACACTCTGTCAAACCAGCACAAATCTAATCTAAGGCTATCTTCTCTTACTCGCTTTAATACAAAACGTGTTACTTAGTCACCAGTGAATTAGGTAACGTAGGTATTAGGAAGATACAAGTGTGGAGCTGTGCTTCCTTTTACAGCATGTTTGCCAGCCACCTGTAGGCATGGTAGCTTATGACCAACCCACCCTATTTTCCATCTGTAGCAATTACTCCAGAGGAGCAAAACTTAGATTTTGCATTTTTCTTTTTTGTCCTGGCCATATTTTCTTCTTTCTTTTCAGTCCAAACTTAGAAGCATTGTCAAAACCATAATTTACTGATAAAACTGGACCATTAAGATGATGTACAGTATATCCAGAAGATATGTTTTTTCCTCACATTATCTCCTTATTCCTTGGCCAAGATCTGGTGAAAGCTTGATATTACCATAATACAATTGTTTCTGAAAATAGTCCAAGTATTCTGCTTAACTAGAGTGTATTTGTCATCATTGACATTCAATCCAATTAACCAAATTAAACTGACTGGATGATACTATAATTACCTCATGTTCAAAGAAGTACAATGTTACTTCTTAACAGTAGGTAGGGTCTAAAAGTGAGAAAATGACACTAAATATTAGAAGGTCAATAACATTAGATCTGTTTTTTGATGCATATTATAATCACATAAAAATAATGTAAGGTATTTACTCATGTTTTATGCCCAGCCAAAGCATAAGTAAATAGCTTACATTATTTTCTCTCCACCTCTATGTAGAAGTGAATTAAATTACATCTATCTTAAAGCAAATCTGAAGTTTAATTTACATTTATGATCTTTAGAAAGGCAAAAGTAATTAACATTATTTTATTTTTGATGCAGGTGAAAGTAGTATATCTTGGTAGTAAATTGTCACTAATTTCTTCTTTTTATATGAACTCCCATCCTTTCATAGGTTGGAATAAAAGAATGCAAAGACACAGATATTTTCCCAGTGTCCTACCACCAACTTCTGCCTATCATTCTGCTTCTAACTGCTAAGTCATAATAATTAAACACATGTTTTTGGTCATGTTTTTCATTGTTTCTAATTCCTCTTATCCCTCCCCAATTACGCGCAATAACCAAATGCACTCCATGAAGCTGGATTCATAATGAAAGTGTTTACTTTACTTATGATTAACTTCCCTGCATAATTAATGTCCCCAATCCTCCGGGTAGCCTTATTACATCTATTCTGTTTTAACATACTATCTGTCAGCTGAATACATTTTCATATTTTAGGAGTGGGGAAAAGACAGAAAAGCTCCTTGCTGACTCCGATTCTAAGATTATTTTTATCAAAAAGTATTTGCAATTATATTAGCTATTTTCATTGCTTATATAAAGTGCTATATTGGCTGATCCTCACCTGAGAAGGTAATGATTAAATTACAAATGTAAATAGGCTCCTAGCAGAGACCATTAGCAACACCTTGAGGACTTTGTAACAAGGATCTAAGGGGACAGAGGGCAGGAAAGACACACAGAGCTGGCAATAGGGGCAGCAGTGAGGTCTGACCACAGGGTTTAGGAATTCTCATTTCCCCTGGAAGTCTTCATGAGGGACACACCAAGATCTTTTATTGCAGGTGTCGTCTCCGACCTCTCAACTGCCAGCAATGCCCAGATCTGTCCACTTAAACCAAGCCTCCTGGAAAGGGGGCTGAAAGGTTGATGTGCTAGTTCTGCTTTCTCTGAAGTCTCCTCGGAAAGTACTCCTCAGCCTGAGCTCACGCTGTTTGCCTTAAAAGGATAAAATATCTGTAGGAAAAAAAAAAAAAACTGTAGCTGGCTGCAGAGACATCACATACCAAGAGAGACGCTACAAGCCCAGGACTGCTCTTCCAAGAGGCGCTCATCATTGTTTCACCTTCAACTTAGCATTGGATAGCAGGAGCTGGGACCCAAAGAAACTATCTGGCCACAGAGGCAGCTGCCCTCAGCAAGAATTTAAAAACAAAACAAACAAACAAAAAACTTGGGATGAAAGCTGATCCTAATGTGTGTCACATTTGAAAGTGGCCAGGAACCCTGGCTGGCAGGAAAGGGGAAACAAACTTACCCACTGAACAGAGCTGCTGCCACTTTTGTGTGCCCCAGGTCCTTAACAGGTAACCCCAGAGATTAAAGTGATGCTGATAGGTTCAGATGCTAGGGAGATTGGGGAGCTGAAGCTGCCTGGCTCCACTGCAAGCCAGGGACTTGGGTTGCTCAAAAAGAAACAAGAAAGGTGCTTCCCCAAAGAATAGGAATTCAAGTAGTCTGTAACAATCAACAATGAATGGGTCATAGCAGAGGTTTCTCAACCCTGGCTGAATATTATAATCACTTTGGGAGTAAAAATAATATACCTATACCTCAGGTCTACCCCAGAGCAATTAAATCATAGGCTCTGGAGGTGGTGCCCAGCAAATGTATGTTTTAAAGCTCCCTAGGTGATTGTAACATACAGCTATGTTTGAGAACCAATGGGCTAGGTAGGGAAATGATCACTTGTTTAGGAGAATAAACAAGAAGGCATCAACTAAACTACACGTACAATTTGTCTACACGTACAATTTGGCAAAAAAAAAAATCCAGCTATGCTTTCGCAGGCCCCTAGTGCTTAAAGGTTTTAGCCAATAGAGACATTCAACTCTTTAGATGAACACTTTATCCTGGTCTTTTGTTTAATATCACACACAAATGTACACACACAACAAACACACACACTCCTCTTGTCATCTTCCTATTAGAGTGGTTATCAAATTTTGCTACACGTTAAAGTTACATGGAGAATCATCAAAAATTACTGATATGTAGCTTCCAACACCCGGACATTCTGATTTTAATTGGTTTGTGGTACAATCTAGGAATTGGATTTTTATGTTCCCCATGTGATTCTAATGCGCAGGAAAGTTTGGGAACCGCCGTCCTACATTATTTCTTCCACTAGTCCCAGAGTCCTTCTGCTTCCTATTTAATTATTGGTGAACAGATACACCCCAGAGAATGACCTATATGTTATTCATAAAGTTTTCCTGCAGCTACCTAATCCCCATGACCCTTTGGGCAGTAAGAGAGCCTAGTGGCTAAGGAGAAAAGCTCTGGAGCTCAAATTCAGGCTCAACCTAGTGTGACTGTGGGCAAGTTGCTTCACTTCTCTGCGCCCCAGAGTTCTTTTTCTCATGCTGTGAAATTGGGATAATCCAGAATCTTCCTCATAGGGTTGTTTTTGTCCTAAAAAAAAGATGATCAGGTGGGGTGCGGTGGCTTACATATGTATTCCCAGCACTTTCTTTGGAGGCCCAGATGCTGGAGAATCATTTGAGGCCAGAAGTTCAAGACCAGCCTGTGCAACTGAGACCCTGTCTCTACAGAAAAAAATTAAAAATTATCCAGGTGTGGTGCTATGTGCCTATAATCTTGGCTACTCTGGAGGCTGAGGCAAGAGGATCACTTGAGCCCAGGAGTTTGAAGCTGCAGTGAGCTATGGCTGTGTCACTGCACTCCAGCCTGGGCAATAAGACAGAAAGAACCTGTCTCAATCAATCAATCAATCATTCAATCAATGAAAGAGACAATCTATATAAAGCACAGGAGCAGTGCCTGGCACAGAGTTAGTGCTCCATAAATGTTACCCAATCTGATGATGATGAGCAGTGTAATTCTTGATGCTTTCATTCAGAAGCAGGATGCACTGAGTTGTTGCCCTTATTCTTGTCCTCTGCACTGTTGGCTGCACAAACACCACCAAGTCCTCAATGATGTCAAATTAAGGAGCATTTCAAAGGGACAATACAATGCATTCAAAACAAGCACTGGTCTAATGGGAAACTATCTTCAGTATAGCTCCCTAAGAAGGCAAGCCTTCGATATACTCTAATTTGGGTGTCTCTTCTCTATGGCAGTCTTCATCCATAAAGTACTATCTTACTTGCAAGCTCTTTTCCAGTCTTGTCACCTATTTACTTGCACACAAAGCCTATCACTATTTTCCAACTTCCTTGCAAATATGGCATAGTTTTACCAATACCCATCTCGTTTCGCCCTTTCTTGTTCCCTCGATATGCATTTCTTCTTCTCACTCTACTCTCCAGCTTTTTTCATTGCTTATAAATTTCACGCTTAAAATATAGGCAGCCTCTAGAAGCTGAAAAAGACAAGATATGGAGTCTCCCCTAGAGCCTCCAGAAGGAATGCTTATATGAATTTTATAAGCAATGAAAAAAGCTGGAGAGTAGTATGCTTATAAAATTCATTCAGAAATAAGACAGTTTTGAGAGTGTACTATTAGTTCCACATTGTGTTAAACATCTGTTTTGTGTAGCTGAAGTTTTTGTGCTATTGTTTATATTTACAGGACAGTTTTGGAGGGAGAAAATTCCTCTGCTCTTACAAACAAAATTATCCTTAGAGAGTTCAAACAGGTTGCACATACTGAACTTCTCAGAAAATAAATTTTAAGGAAGTGCTGAGGAACACAGTCGTTACAGAAGATGGTGAGAGGGAAGCAGAACCGGTGTCAGAACTGAGTGTGAGGAAGCAGACAAGGGCTGTCGGGGAAGGGGTGGCAAACAGTACCAGCTCAACAATTCAGATTAGGATACAAAATGCCAAGGATGTGATTGCATAATAAGTTGTTGAGCATACTGGTAAATGCTGCTTTCAGCATGTGCTTATTTATCACATTGTCTTGCGTTCTCTGAGCTTGAAAGGTTCAAGTCAGAGGATCTGGAATGCTAGCAACAGACCCAGTTTCTTGGGATGGGCTGCAGCACCTATGGTAGAGATGGCAGAAAGAGCAGCAGCCTGGTGTTCGAATATGGTTGCTAGGATACCATGGAGACCCTCCATTGCTAGGCAGACAGAAAAAAAAATGTGTCCATATGCCTTATAACCTGCAAACAGCAACAATAGAAACATCATCTGTGTTCTTCTACCCTTTCCCATTAGGAATCCAGATAACAAGTAGCAGGAGCTTGGAAATGTGACCCAGTAGAGCAAGGAAGCTGGTAATTTATATTCTCAGGCAGGTAGTAGAGCCATTCTATTTAAGAGCTTACCAGTATCTTCATTATAAGACCCATTTTGGGGGCATGCAACTTGACTGTGCTTCAAAATACCCTAATAGGGTTTTAGCACGCTGGTCTCATACATTTTTATAAATGCTCCCGGGACTTCATTTCTACTGCATAAACTGTAATGTCAAATTAACAATCAACCTTAAATTAGAAACTCTATTAGAATAACATTAGGTTGGAATTTAACTCCTCCACAAAAACAAGAAAGATGACTTTCGAAAAACAACTTCAGGTTCAATTCTCATTGATGTTCAGTTTGCCTAGGTATGTGAGGAATCTGCAGTGCTAGTCTGTGGCATCAAGTTAGATTACTTTCAATGAGAACATTTGGAAGTGAGTGGAAAAAGGAACTTGGAACTTGGTTTCTTTAAGACTTCTAATCATCTGCTGTTTGCTTCAATTAACTACTCTTACCTAGTTATATAGTTACGACTATTAACAGGACTGTGATGGTGGGGGTAAGAAAGCTGAACTGATATTCTGGCATTCAGAACTGCATTAGTGGGTAACTATTAGTCCTTGGTGTAAAACACACACACACACACACACACACAAATGAGCCTTAGCTATTCTAAAACCCAAAAGAATGCCCTCTCGCCTACTTTATCAAATCATAGAAACCAAGATTCTCATTCTCACTGGCCTAAACTTGCTTTTCCACAGTTCCCACTACAGTACTTTAGCACAGCCACTAGTTGCTCCCAATTCCCAGAGGGGCCCTGCTTTCTTTTTCTGTGCTGTCACTTTGCTAATGGCTTGGAATGTATTTCCCCAATCCCTATCTCTATCCCTCCCTCTTTCCTCTCATTTCCACTCACCTAAATCATAGCCCTTCTTCAAATACTTACTTTAAACCCTTCTACTTCCACATGAGTTTCTGACACCATAAAACCAAACAGGCTTGATTATATTTTGCCAACTCTCTTAGTTATCTCCCCTGTGACTTACCTTACTCTATCTACTTTCTAGAATATTTACTTGTGCAGTATTGTTAACCCCTTGTTCACTCCTGGATGGTAGGACCTATGTAGCTCTTACCTCTAATGCCTTACAATATTTTGCATGTCACAGGCAATCCCATAGAAGTATTGAACTGAGATGTAGGGCACTTTTGGAATTAAATTTCTACCTTTCAAGCCATCTATGTTTTAATATTATGCCATCTATGATTACACTAGAATTCTAGAATTCTCTCAACTTCCAACAGAATTTAATATACAGTCTTTAGGAACATTTTGTTTTTCTTGAGATATATCAGTATAAAGTTTAAAAGATTAAATAATCTCTTAAAATGAATGCCTCCTTAAAAATAAAAATAGGCCGGGTGCGGTGGCTCACACCTGTAATCCCAGCATTTTGGGAGGCCAAGGCAGGCGGATCATGAGGTCAGGAGATCAAGACCATCCTGGTAACACTGTGAAACCCCGTCTCTACTGAAAATACAAAAAAATTAGCCGGGCGTGGTGGCTGGCGCCTGTAGTCCCAGCTACTCAGGAGGCTGAGGCAAGAGAATGGTGTGAACCCGGGAGGCAGAGCTTGCAGTGAGCTGAGATGGCACCACTGCACTCCAGCCTGGGCGATAGAGCGAGACTCCGTCTCAATAAATAAATAAATAAATAAATAAATAAATAAATAAATAAATATAAATAAATATTTTTATCCTCAACTCCTCCAAAGTACTTCGCAATGAAAAAGTGAAACAGGGGCCAGGTGTGGTGGCTCACATCTGTAATCTCAGCACTTTTGGAGGCCCAGGTGGGCTGATAACCTGAGTTCAGGAGTTCAAGATCAGCCTGGCCAAAATGGCGAAACCCCATCTCTACTAAAAAAAAAAAAAAAAAAAAAAAATAGCCAGGCATTGGTGGCACGTGCCTGTAATCCCAGCCACTCAGGAGGCTGCGATGGGAGAGTTGCTTGAACCCTGGAGGCGGAGGTTACAGTGAGCCAAGATCGTGCCACTGCACTCCATCCTGGGTGACAGAGTGAGACTCTGTCTCAACAACAACAACAAAGGAAAAAGAAAGGAAACAAAATAGAACATGGAGTGAAAGCAACAGCTTACAAAAATACAAAGACACTAACCACTTTTAGGAACTCAAGTCTATATAATCCAACTGAAATGACTGAAACCCTGTGACATGAAAATGGAAAAGATTTGGGAATATTTTCAAAAGATAAGGGGTTTAGATCAAAATTTCAGAGACTGAATGTTCTAACATGATATAGAATCAATTTCAGGAATGAAACTTCATGAAATAAAATTACTTAAGTCCATAAGAACTATTCTATATAGGCAATCAACAGGCTATCTGATCTCACATAATGAATGCTTAGGTTTTGTTTTTCATTTTAAGGGTTTATTTGCTCAGTTTATTTCCAAATATAGTTTAGTAGTTTTACATTCTCAAGGAGTTATTTGGTAGCAGTGGAATACAGATTCCAATTTGCTACATCAGTTCTTTCCTTCACATAAGTATTGTATCTATACAGATTGTGAAAGAGACCAATAAAAACCCTCCTCCTACCTCATAGTTATAGCAGGAGTGTCCTGGCTCAGTGCTGGAATCTGACAGAACCTTCCCTCCAATTCCCACATTAAAGGAAAAATTCCAAGCCAAAAATGTTAAAATGATTCAAGTTATTAAGTTAATTTACATTTTATACTATTTTTAAATGACCAAATTTACCAAGAAACCAGAACTAAAAAAAATTATAATCCTCAGAAGGCAACCTTAGTAAGTAAAAACTAAACAGATATATTTGCATATATCAGATAAATGAACAGAACATTAGCGGGGCAGTTACCTACATCTAAAAAAAAGAGAATCAAAAACTAGCATGAACGTAAACTGGAAATTAATGTGTCTATTTAGATAGTTTCATTTTAACTGGAAACTCACAATAATCTATATGTATGTTTAAGAAAGATGGCTACATTTAAGATGTAGTAAAGATGAAATACAAAGACACAAACACTTGTTGCCAGTAAGTCCGTGTAATCAAATTATTCATAGTGAAATACATTGAAAGGCAAACAAGTCTTCTTTGGTTTGGCAGGTTTTCTTAACTCTTTGTGGAGCTACCTTGTACAACCATTCAAACAACATAAGATTTATTCATTTTGCATACAATGTACTTCTTTTTTCCCTAAGAAAGGTACACTTTCTACTACTCAAGCCAATTTTTTTCTAGTTTTCTTTATGTAAGTGTGAAAAAAGAACAGATGTTTTTCCAAAATTATTTAAGCTTGGAAGGCATTCTATCATTTTCCTCAATAAAATACTTCAGAGTCACCCAAAGCATCATGGCAATACCTTAAGAGCTGAGTCCTTTAAAATACAAGTTATTAGTAAGAAATCAGTATCAGGACACACAGTGTTGTTTGATAGATAAAATGTTATTATAATGATAGATAAAATGTTATTATAATGGGATGCTGTAAATTATTTGCCACACCAGCTTTATTTTCCACTCTGGACCTTTTTCGTTTGTTTGTTTTTCAATCTAGATATTCTACAAGTCATGTACAAAGAGGCTTTTAAACTTATCACATTGTATAGCTCATTCCCTACTGCCTAGAATCTTGTAAATCTCTGATGGAATGTGTAACTGGAGTTATCAGCTGGCTTCAACATGCTTCACTATGAAACCTATTAAAGTGGTCTTTTTGTAAAAGCAGAGTTTGCTCTGTGTCACTCAAAAGTCCTGCGGATACAAAAATGAGATCCTATGAAATGTTTAAAGATGCAGAGAGCTGTCTTTGAGTTATTTTTTCATTATGCAAAACTTGGCCCAGGAGAGATGGTCATGTACCTCGTTAGCTAAAACAGTCAGGCATGTCAGGATTGCAAATTAATTTACCAGAGAAAGTTGAAGTTTATTCAGATCACTCAGGTTTCTAAGGCAGATCTAAGTCTGCTGAACTATTAGGGCAATTTGGTAAGGTCAGAATCTCAGAAATGTTTATCCTTATTGTCTCTTTCCAACTCCCTCGCAGAATACAAACTCCTCCCTAAACTAAGCCTGCATGAACAGCAAATGTTCCATGGGAATCAACATGTATAGGTATAACTCTAAGTTTTCAAAAGTAGTAATTGGTACATGCTGTGATTCTCCCCAAAAAACATCCAATAAATACAAATAGAGATAATCAAATATTTACTTTCTCCTTATATTAACTTGTTGTATTTATGAAGTGAAGGGTTTCGATGGACCTTGCATTATTACGTAACACGTGCCATCCAGCCAATGTGATTTCGTTAGTAGTAGAGTAAGCAGCAATATCCTTGGTTTTATCAATTACGTTATTATCTATTAATTTAAAATGCCGTTCTTTTGGGTGCTCTCCCACATTCTGTTAACCTCATGTTCCTGTCGCTTTACTCTCCATATGAACTCTGAGTTGAGTGTTGTATAACAAGTTTCATTAAATTTTTCCCATCCAAGTTATGAAGCCCACTAACATCAGAATTGCACAGTTCCCTAAAAGGCTAGAACAATGCCAGAGTGGTTGCATTAGAAGCCAAGAGTAAGGCAAACAATGGGTCCACGTTTTAAATAAGATAAGTGTGCTTATCTGTATCTGACCCTGGAAACAAGCAACCACCTCTTGGGAGATGGAGATGCTCCATTAGTAACATTATGCACGTTTCTTAAGTAAAATAAGCAATCTTCTCCCTCATATGTTATGAAAAAATATTTCTTCAAAATCAACAGACTAGTCTTCCATTTATGGATTGTAAATGTCATCCAATTCAGGAAATCAAAAATTCTTCCTTTTTCTATGCCTATTTGCTTATGTTTCACACTTTGATGATGACAAGAACGTCAGGTTTGAAGGGTACCAGCGTGAAGCGCCAGCAGGTAGAGAAATCCGGGAGAGCCACAAAAGCATAGAAAGTATGGGTGATCAGACGCATTTCATTTCAAGTCTGATGAGCCTGCATTTAGGATTTTCCAGCTGGGCTGGTTTGCCAGGGCTTTTGGGAGACGGGGGCTTTTTATTTCTTCTCTCACACTCACACACACGGTCGGACACACACCTGGGACGTGTTCAAACTCTACGTACACTAGGTGGCTTATACGAATGTATATGTATATTTAAAAATAATACCTTGACATCTGACAAAGACACGAAGGCAACGTATGTGCAGTGAGTCTGGCTCTGAGAAACGTGCACAGCCCCGCAAGAAGTGCCCGTTAAAATGAAACATTTCTGAGGATGAGGACAGACATGGCAAGCGGGAGGGGCGGGGGCCGACAGACAATACAGAGACCCGCAGCTCCCCATCGCCAGGGCGCCACATGGACCCGGCGCGTCACCCCTGCTTACTGTGGGCTCTTGGGGTAGAAGGGCAGGGTCACATGGCTGAGATCCTGGATGTCGAAGGCGGTGGGCTCGGCGGAGATCGCCTGCCGCTTGGTGCGCGGCTCGCCCTGCAAGGTGCTCGCGCTCTGCTTCTGCGCCTGCTGGGTGGCTGGTCGGATCACCGAGCGGTACTTGTCCAGCTCGTTCTGCAGCTTCTGGATCAGTTCGTCCTTCTGATCCAACTCCAGCTCCAGCTCGTCGATGAGAGCATCCCGCTGCCTCAGCTCCTCGATCTTCTCCTGGAGCGCGTACTGTAAATCCCGCAAGGTGCCCATGCTCCTCCGGGCTGCCGGGGGCTCCTTCCTGCCGCTGCTCCGCGTCTTGAGGCTTCCTCCCCTCTCCGATCAACTTTCCCCAAAGTCGCCGCTGCCTCCCGAGTGCCAAAGCTTCCTACTTGAGACCAAAGCCAGCCCTGGCTTCTGAGCATGCCCAGTCCGCCGGCTCCAGCCACCCAGAGTTTCAGTGCAGATTCCACTTCTCTGGGCTGGCTGTGAGGCTCAGAGCGGGGAGAGCAAACCAGCAGGTCCAACCCGGGATTAAACCTGAGACGCGGTGGGCGCCGCGGCGCGGGGGAGAAGAGTCGGAGGCGCGGTGGCGGGGGAGCGGGAGGAGGGGACGTGAATGGGGGCTCCGAGGCAGCGGCTGGGCTCTCAGAGTCCCTCGCGCCGGGCGCCCAAGGAAGCTTGCGGGGCGTGCGGGGAGCCTGATAAGCCTCCGAGGCGCGCCGGGGGTGTGCGGGTGGAGCGAGGCGGGAGCGCTACTTCGGGGGTGGGGAGGTGGGAGGGAGGGGACAGGGAGGACCCCGGGCAAACTCGGGAGGCCTCAGCTGACTCCAGAGCAGACCAGCCTGGAGAATGTTGAGCTACGATCCTAGCGACGTACGAGGCATAGGGGACTCTGCATCATCAAAGCTCTGAGTTCTGGAGGTATTTTGACGGCCGGCCTCACTAAGGAAAGCTCCCGAGCGGTGTGGCCGAGCTGTCGCTTCTCCCACGCCACCTTTCCCACCCAGAGCGCCTCACACAGGTGGCTAACGCTTGCGAAGAAACTTGCCTCTCAGGAGATGCGAGCGAGTCGGCGCCCGCGAGGAATTCCCCCTTTCAGCCTACTACCTTTGGGAAAGGGTTGTGGGGTAGGGGGTGGGGTTTCCGATTTTAGCACCCGAGGCGTTGCTACTCTTCGCCTGCTCCAGATAGTTACTTTCCTTTCTGCCCCTTCCAAACTCTCATCGGGGAACTGTTTTAGGGCAAAGGCCAAAAACGGATTTGGGCCCTAGCAGGTCACTCAGCTTCCCCATGAGCCCTCCGCCTTGAGCTGGTGCCTGGGAATAGTTCTCGGATGGGCCTTGCTTCTTCCATTTGCTGAATTTGGCGGGGAGAGGGTGGGGGTTAAAAATCATTCCCGAGCTCCAAAAATTTCATCTTGAAACTGAATCATACCTTTAAAAATATTACTTTCCTCACAACCAAGCTGTTAGGAATGTATCTTTCCACTTGAATGGCCAGGAAGACATCCTGACACAAACTTTGAAGAAGAGGGAAAATCGTGAAGGAGCGAGGGAGACCACGCAGGCTGCAGTGAATTGTACACTATACTGCAGTCACCCCCACCTCTACCCACTCCCACCCTCATCCCTGCCCACTCAATATTCCCCAAAATGATCACAATTAGGTAACTTCCTTTCTATCCAAGTGTTACACTCCCATCATGGGAACACATGTTTAGAATCCCCAAATATCTGCCTAATACGTACCTAAATCCCTAATATTTGCTTAAGACATTACGAACTCATCCAATTTTATAGCATCTTTATTGGCAGATTTTTGATTACTATTCTTGGGCACTCAATATTATAATCCTCAATGCTCTATTTGGTTATTCCTTAACACTAAAACAAAGTGGACAGAAAATAAAATTGAATTGCAATGCAATTCTAAACTTAGCAAAGAATAGTATCAAAATAACTTGCACACTGTTGCTTTTGAATACACAACTTTTTGTATTTAAGCTAGAGACAGAGGAAGGGAGGAAAGGAGGGAGGGAGGTCAAGGTATCTTAACAAGCTTGTTCATTTAAAGTGTCCTTGTTTTTAATTAGAGGACTAAATGACAAAATATATAGTCCTAAATATTCTTTTATGTAGATTATGATCTAGTAATTCTCTTAATGCAGATTACACAAGACACTTCATTTTTCTGCTTTCCAACACAGACTTTCAGAAGTGCATTTATTTCTAAATGTGATATATAAAATGGATCATTCTCAAAACATTTTCTTTTGCAATGAAGAAATGAGCAACTTACAAATATTGAAAATAATAATAGCTCTGAATTACTGTTGTTTTAATTAAAAGTAAACCAAGCAGAAGTACTGTGACTTTGTATAACTCACTGTATTCTAAAAAAGCTTCCATGAAAATTTCCTTCTTCTGGGCAAAAGGCCAAATTCTTATTTAACCTGTGGGAATTCTTTATTTCCATGGGAAAATGTTGAATACAAAATGACTTTTTCCTATAGATCTATTATTGGGGTTCATGAAGCCATGAGTTTATGTCTAAAAATATACCAGATACAATGTATAGAGGACATAATTAGACAACTGCTAAGCTGGGTTCAGAATTCCAGGATTTTCTCTTTGTTTTTTTTTTGTTTGTTTGTGTGTTTGTTTTTGAGACGGAGTTTTGCTCTGGTCACCCAGGCTGAAGTGCAGTGGCGCAATCTCAGCTCCCTGCAACCTCCGCCTCCTGGATTCAAGTGATTCTCCTGCCTCAGCCTCCGGAGTAGCTGGGACTACAGGCACCCGCCACCACGCCGGCTAGTTTTTGTATTTTTAGTAGAGACGGGGTTCACCATGTTGGCCAGGATGTTCTCGATCTCTTGATCTCGTGATCTGCCCGCCTTGGCCTCCAAAAATGCTGGGATTATAGGCATTAGCCACTGTGCCCAGCCATCTCGTTCATTTTTAAAGTGAAAACAAATATTTTAAATACGTTTTTCATTGATGTTTTAGAGTTTATTTAGGGTTTAAATGGGGTTACTTAATGTTTTTGAGCAGCACAAAGAGAGAAGGTTCTTCCTCATTTGTAGAAAGTCTGTCTACATGTACAAAGGAAAATAAAAACTAAAACACTTTCCCCAAAAATAAAAAAACCAAAAATATTTAGGCATTTTGGAAAAAAGTGAGTTTTTTTACACTAAATTATGTAAATACTTATCAGTATTTAAGCTGGCATATCTAAATGCAACTATAGGATGTATACACATTACATTTTCATTTTAAATTTACATCTCATGATATAAAATCTGTTCCAGGATGAATCTGATATTGAGAGTCAGGAATCTGTTATAACAAACACAAATAGAGTAAAAAGCTGAAAAGACATGACTTTTACAATTGACTTTAAAAGGTGTTCAAGGAATAGAATATATTTAGTTATCTCAGGCTGTGTTATTTTTTTAAATTGACTTCCCCTTAAATGCTTTATAATTTCATATGCAAAATCCAGGATTCTAGCCTTTTCTCTTTCATTTTTAAAGTAAAAATAAATATTTTAAGTATGTTTTTCAATGATGCTTTTGACCAGCTGTTTAGATCTTGAGCGACCAGGTTTCCATCTCAACCTTTTGAGTGTTTCCAATATTTTCTTAAACATCTTCTGCGTTGTACTTAGTAAATGCTGGAAATAAACCCTATGTGAAAAATCAAAGTCCTGCAATTACGTCTTAACAGACAAATTATCTTTACTAAGTGTCATGTAGTAAACTTAATTGGCTAAATTACAAGATCAAAGATCAGGCACAAGTCTACTTTCTGCTAATTAGGAAGTGTCTACCTCAGATTCCTTCAGGGATAGAGTAGAGGAGAATGGCTTGATCTGAGCCCTGCCCCACTGCCTATCTGAGATGAAGCTTTGACATTAGATGCTAACAGTTAGAACAATGCAATTTTGAAGGAACTGACTTCATACTCTAGAATTCCAGAAACAACTCACAACCTGTTTTTCAGCAGTCTTCCTTTTTCATAACTTTAATAGAAGCAAAGTTCTACTGGTAGCCAGACCAAACTGTGGCCTGTTGAACTCCAACATGCTCTTTAGTCTTGCACCCAATCCTCATAATTGAGAATAAAAACTGACATGCCTTCCTTAATGGATTCTCAGAATCATTTAATGAGCTATTCCAATAAAGTAGCTTTATTATAATACTGGCTATTCAAAAATAAATCTGTAGAATTTGTCATCCTTCACTAAAAACATAATTAGCCCAAAAGAACTGTGCTAATTTTATCCACTTATCCATTCCACTGACACTGTATTTCCTGGAAGAATCTTAAGTTTTGAAATTTTCTTCTGTCATTTCATGTGTATATCTTGAATGGGAAAAAATAAACAAACAAATATATAGCTGAGCCTTTCAGGAGACAGAAGCTTCCTCTGGCAGAAGATTGCTAAAAGTAACAAGTCCTCCTAGGAATCTAGATTTTAAAGCTATTACTGGCAGACATGACGGTCTGTTCTAAGTTGCTAATCATAATCAAGATCACAAAAAATTAACTAACTTCCTTGACTTCTTAATGCATGATAGGTATTGTTCATACAACCCTATAAGTTCAATATTATTAATATTCTATTAATATTAGAGAAAATGGAGTCACAGAATCATTCACCTAATCAATGGCAAAGACTGGCTTCATATCCAGACTAGGTGATGTAGAGCTGAGGCCCCTACCCCTCATTACTTTCTGCAGAACTTATAAGTGTTGCTACTGTCCTATTCTGTATCCAGAGAGAGAAGAGTGTCTTTAACATCAACTTGCTTGACTTAGGGGTCAGGGAGGTGAAGAGGACAAATTTGGAAAATCCTGAAAGAGCAGCAACAAGGTTTTCAAAAAGTTCCTTTTCACAAAACAGTCCTGTCTTTATTTCAACAAGATTACATTCTGGCTCAGGGTAAGTAACTTGAACCCATTTGCCAGAGATTGTACTAATCCTAAAATTGCTTGAAATTGTCCTGTCTTTAAAACTAAAAGTTCTAAGAATCTTCCAGTCTCGGGCAAACCAGGAGAGTTGGTCACCCTATTCAATTCAAAATATCTGAGCTTCTCTAGTTTATAAATATTTTCAAATTTTGCTTTCCACATTACTGATAGAAAAGTAAAACCAAGGAAGATCTGTAATGATAATACCTATTATTTTAGGCACATTACAAACCCACTTATACATTACTTTGTGTTAATATGTTTTAGGAAAGCAATCATCCTATTGCAATGAATAATAATGCACAACCGGAACTGTCTTTGGACTATAAAGGGGGATGAGTCAGACAATAGAATTTTAATTATACTTTGATAAATTAGACAATAATTCAAGGATCCCTTTTTGCTTTATTGTTTTTACAGAAACTGGAACTTACATTGATTCCCTGTGAATTAAGTACAGGGATTCAAGTGCCTGCTATTTTATTAATTCCTATAGAACTAGTTTTATAATTGTGTTTAGTGGATAGATTTGGCCATAAGGAATATATATTTACATGGATATAAGTAAAAATTGAAATAGTTTGGCTGTTTTCAAGTTATACTATTTCAAATGGTAAGTTCTGCGTAGAAAAGAAAAAAATAATAAACCATTAATGATGAAAAACTTACTGCAGAGACTTGGAAAGTAACAGCGTACTGTACCATAATTGCTAATGTACTTAGCATTTAATACTGAATTAGTGTCATGCTTAATATTAGGTGAAATGAATTTTTATAGTCCCCTTCTTAAGATGACGGGAAGTTATTATTGGGTCTCAGGCTAAACTAGTTCTCATGAAAACTCATGAGCTATCTAACAAAATGAATATTTATTTGTACTCTTTAGTCAGCTGCTCATTTACAATAGCCAAAAGAAAAAAAATCAAGAAAAATATTAGGTTTTTTGTATTTTGAAATAAGTGTAAAATTTTTAAATGCATAAAATAGAATTTAAAATGCTTTATTCACAAGACACCATTTTACTGCATTTGAAGCGTAATGAATATGTACATGAGCATGCAACATACCTGTATGATAAATAAGTTAGAGTTGCTCAGTTCCATTTCAGTGATTCTTCTGGTATATTAAATGTGCATCTTTTACTAAGGTAAATCATCAATATTTTCCACAAAATATTCTAAAGTATTTTTAAAAGTAATTTTGATTCTGAAAACAGATTTGATATTGTGGGGCTTATAGAATAGCTCTCTAGTCCATGATTTGTCTTTTTTGCTGTTGTTTGTATTTTAACTAGTATTTAGCAGTTGATATAACTTGGCCATTTTCTTCTTACAGGTTTTGTAACCAAAATTTAAAGTAAAGAAAACTGAAGTTTTGCTAGCAAACTCTTTAAAAATAATAAGGTAAGAAAATACTAAAGATGTAAGAAGGACAATGAAATAGAAATTTGGGTGAATTGAATTTTTATTAGTAGGTCAAATGACTGCATTGGGCAAGAGAAAGATGTCAAGAAATTTATTTACATTGTGAGAATGTCAGTGATTCAAGGGAGAGGGGGCTTTGCAGGCAAAAAGACATAGTAGGGAAATACATGGAGATCTCCACTCTCATTAACTTAATGGGCATGTAAATATCACCTAGCTTCAAATTAAGGAATCTTCAAATTGTGACTTTTCTATAATCATCATGAGATGGAAATCCAGAAATCCACTTTTCTAACGACAGGCAAATGAAATAGTAGGCTAGTAAAGCAAATGGATATCATTCCAGGGCCAAGATATTGCCACGTATTATTCTTGAAACAAGGGTAGAAGCCCCAGGCTGGGGCCCAGGAGATGCATACATTCACTATGTATTTGTAACTAACTACAACATTATCATTGGCCTTGCCTAATGTAGGTTTTTAGAGAAGATTCAGTAATTCCTTCATGGTCTAGACTGGATTTTTAAAAATTCATTATTGAAAGCACAGGCATTTAATCTGGTAGGTAAAGAATAAATATTAGTGTTCCAGATTTAAACTTAAAAGACAAATGTTCAAACACCTATATAATGAAGAAGTTACCCAAAGCAGCAATATCTAAAGTATCATATAGTTTCAATGCACCATATAAATAAATGTACAATAGGAAATTTCACACTTTTTTGATATTAGCACAAAATAGTGTCTGTCTAGAGTCACTGTATTACATACAAATTTTTTACTCAAAGAGTTAATGTAGAGAGTCATTATGGAAAATTCATCTAATTTTTCCCCAGATTATAATACAGCCAAAATTCTAATCATCTAGTTTCTTTAGAAAATCATCTATGTTGACTACAACTTTTAAGTGGAAAAAATAACAGGGAAATCTTCACAATGTTTATTTGTGGAATATTAAAAGCAATTGCTGCTGTTAGGAACATAGAGAACTTAGTGAAAATTGCTTACTTTCATTTTCCAGTTTCCACTGGTTAGACCCTCCATCAGAAAACAGCAAGTAATATTCTCTCAGCAGTCACAGAACTAAAACTTACCTAAGATAACAGTGTTTCCATGTTTGGTCTATTTTTTAGTTTACTTTATGCCACTCTCAAGGGCACACACAAATAACATATATATATATATATATATATACACACATACATACAAACACACAAACACAGATAATTAAAGGAGCGACAGCAACATATGCCATGGCTTAACATCCCATCCTATCCCACCTCCCACAGAAAAAAAAAGCAAATGTGTTAGCTATGATGTGAATGTCTCCCCCAAAGTTCATATGCTGGAAACTTAATCCCCAGTGCACCAAGATTGAGAGGTGGAATCTTTTAAGTGGTGATTCTTTCAAGAAAAAAAAGTAGTTGTATAAAGACACATATTTTCTAGAAAATATTCAAAGTGACAGGAAGAAAACATAGTTATCATGGATCTTAAGCAGGCAAATATGTTGTTCTAAGAGGAGTGTCAAAGAAAGCTCTGCTAGCAACCAGGCGACTCTAATGCAGGGCTTCCCTCAGAATGTGAACTAAAGAACACTACTTCCTTAAAATGGTAATAAATGTAATGAAAAAGGGTTTCATGGTCAAAAATGTTTGGGAGAGATTGAGAAAAATGTAAGAAAAGAGATTTCTTTCAGTATTAATATCAGTACTTTTAACATTCCAGTATGTATTATGAATTTCCAAAATAAATATACAGTAAATACATAAAATATTACATACTGTATATACCATGTAAATAAATGGTAAATATATACATTGTTTAACAACTAAACCTTCCTTCTTCTAATACTTTCAGTGTTGAACCTGAGTATTCATGGCATTTAATACTTTAAAAGTCAGTTAGACAATTTAATAGAAAGTACAAGCATTTTCTCCATTTGTGAAATCCCCTATTGCTATCTACATACACAGCAATATCTGAGACAAGAACACACAGTTCTCGTCCCACAAACAGTACTGTCAACTACTCACATCTCCCCTTTCAAACCACAATTTGCCCAGCCTGTGGCCACAGCCAATGACATGACAGAAAACCATGAACATATAACAAATTTGGTGCCTACAGGAAGGATTAGCCTTGCCATTTGATCCATAATCAATTTCCTCCCTTTAAAATTAGACTGGGTCACAGGATTATTGCTTAGGTTGTGAAAATGTTCAAGGAAGGACTACAATGGGATCAAAATAAGGTAGAGCATTTGATGAGTAATTAATTACCAAAGTGTTACAGTGATCCTTTAGTTCTTTAAGTTCTCCAAGCATTAAGCAATTACGTCTTAACATTTCATAGCTTCCAATGGGAATTCTCTTTTTGCCCGTGAAGACCTATTCTCAACCCCTTTCACTGCCTTCAAATCCTAGCCCTATCACTTCCCCATTACCGCCTCTCATCTCTTGAGTCATTTATTCAATAAATCTTCAGTTCTTCCCTAAAAAAACTCTCTCTGATAATCCTTCAGAATCATCCCCATAATGTTTTCCCTTCTAAAAGCACTTTATCACAATGCATAATTATATATTACGCATTCTAACCCTAACACTAACCCTAATATTTGCATAAATATTTGTTAGATAGATACATCTCCCATTAGACTGTAAACTATGAAAGCAAAGAATTATGTCTATTTTGTTCATCAACACCTAGAACAGGAAGGCGCTCACTATACTGGCTAATTGCGTTGAATAAATAAAGGTAGGAGTAAATACAGTCAACAATTATTTATTTAAAATGCAAAACACACCTCTCTGATGGAAAAGAATCAAAAGGGAAAACTTTTCTGTTTATTGATGGTGTTGTGTAATATTTAATAAATCAAACATATCAGAGGCTTAGTTTAAGCCTTTCTGTATGTAACAAATCAAATATATCAGAGGCTTAACTTTAAAATGGGTTTTCTTTTATGGAAAAAAAATACATCCCTATTTGAACAACATATTTGCCTGTTTAAGGCCCATGGTAACTATGTTTTCTTCCTGTCACTCTGATTTTTTTTTCTAGGAAATAATGTGTCTTGATATCCAACTACTTTTTTCAACTCTCTCAATGCACTTTTAAATCACCATAATCTCACCTTCTTTCTTACTCTTAGGCTTATAATATGTTGTCTTCAAGGTACAGTGCTCTTTTATGTAACACTGGCAATGTCTACAGGATCAACAGTTTTGCAATTTCTTTTTTGTTTCTTCCACAGTTCCAGCTACTCTTCCAAAAGCTGACTGCTTTATTTGGAGTTGGCCTTCTTTACTAGTGCTTCTTAATACATACATCTTGTAGAAAACTATTCATACCATTTGACATTATTTCGAAAGCAGATGCTTTCAATTAATATACTTAATAACTTCTGTGATTATTAACCAATGCTTGTGTCCTACCTGATCATTTATAATTTGAAAGTTAAGATTTAAACAAAGTTCAAGAAGCAAATTTACCTCCATCTGCAAAATTCCTTCACTAACTTAATTCTTAACATACATATATTATTTCCCATCTCCCCTCCCTTGTTCTTGCTTTGCTTTCTCCATAGAATGTCAGAGTAGGCCCTAGATATAAAATCATAAGCTTAACATCACAATCAATTGAATATGAAAGTGCTAACCTTTGGGAATTAGCAATAATTATAAAGTCACAATGCTATGTTAAATAGTTGTTCAATTAAATCAAAAGACAGGAATATATGGTTTGTTAATGCAAAAAAGAAAATTTCTCAGGTAGATGTTTTCTGTAATTTTAAAAAGTCAGAAAGAATACTTCGTAAGCCCTTCAAATTTATTAGACTTGAATATAGGTCTTGAAAAAGTAATTGTTGTCAACCTTAAAAAAACCTAAAGACAAGCCGTTCCTATGAGAAAATAAAACAAATCCTTATCTATTAAAGAGTCAAATTTGAAGATAAAAAGTCAAAGCCTTGCATATATACATCCCAAAAATCTTTATAAATTAAGCTTTTAACTGCAATGTTATAATGCTGCTTCAGTGTCTAAACAGAAATCTAAGTTTCTGATTCATAACTGTGTGAAACTTCTAGATCTTCAACAAAACCTTAGCATTAATAACCATGTGAATGTAAAAACCCTCTTGGCATTGCATCATTTATCTTTAGTGGTTTTAATTAGATTTTTCCTCTCACAAACTGGGAGTCTCATGAGGCAGTCATCAATATACCTAATCCTTTTGGAAGCACCATTTCCCAAGAGGAAAAACATATGTAATTAAAATTAATAAAGCTCCACAACAGAAAAATGTCATGTTGATATGATATGCCTTTCTATATGTAGAAAATATATTCTTTATTCAGTTAAAAATAATATTTTTAGCAAATAGTTTCTGATTGAGATTTAAATGTTTCATTTTTTAAAAGTACAAGGTAAAGCAAAGCATCACATGACAAGAGAAATTTGTACTCCTTCTTTACATGACTCATTTTATTTCAAATACACTTCCATAGTGTACAGCTTCAACAAACAGTACATTCTTCAAATTTATCTCTCAGCCATTAAATACTAATTTCTAATGACTAAAATACAGAACTAAAGGTACAATTGCACCCTCTACTGTCCAAATGTTCTACTCCATATTGAGCACCGTGTGTCTTTGTTTAACACAATCATTATAAAAATAACAGGTAAATAACACTGGTTTCCTTTTGACATTAATTAGCAGATCCTCAAAAAATTAAGCTCTAATTATAAAATTTCGATAGTGATGCAAATGGAAGCTTGCCACTTTTATAGTTACTTGTAATAACCTAATTTAGAAAATGACTCTTATTAACGTACAGTCATGCATCATGTAATAACTTTTCTGTCAATGATAGACCGCATATACAACAGTGGTCTTGTAAGATTCTAATGAAGCTGCTATACATAGTTGTACCTTTTTTATCTTTTATACCATATTTTTACTGTACCTTTTCTATGTTTAGATATGTTTAGATACACAAATACCATCATGTTACAATTGCCTACAGTATTCAGTACAGTCACATGCTATATAGCTTTGTAGCTTGGGAGCAATACGCTATATCATATAGTCTGGGTGTGTAATAGGCTATATACCATCTAGGTTTGTGTAAATACACTTTTTGATGTTTGCACAATGATAAAATTACCTAAAGGCACGTCTCTTAGCATGTATCCCTGTTGTTAAATGACGCAGCTGTACTTGAGTGAAGTATTCTATTAACTTACTGGTAATGAACGGCACTATTAATATCCTTTTCAACATACCCATAACAAGGAAAAATAGGAAATCATTCAAGCAAACAATTGGCATATTTTTCTAATAATGTATAAAGTTTGCCAAATTTTGTTTCAAGTTAAAAATCAGAAAAACAGAATGTTTCTCTAAAACTGTGCTTCAAAGTTTTTAAGAAAAATTTTGAGTTGATTGTCAAAATCTGAAATACCACTATGAGCTAAAATTAATAGCTTATTTGTATTTTTTTAAACCTATCTTTATTGTTTCAATAGAGACTGTTGGGCCGGGCACGGTGGCTCATGCCTGTAATCCCAGCACTTTGGGAGGCTGAGTCGGGCGGATCGCCTGAGGTCGGGAGTTTGAGACCAACCTGACCAACATGGAGAAACCCCGTCTCTACTAAAAATAAAAAATCAGCTGGACGTGGTGGCGCATGCCTGTAATTCCAGCTACTCAGGAGGCTGCGGCAGGAGAATCGCTTGAACCCAGGAGCAGGAGGTTGCAGTGAGCCGAGATCACACCATTGCACTTCAGCCTGGGAAACAAGAGCAAAACTCCATCTCAAAAAAATAGAAAAAAAAAAGATACTGTTTTGAATTCAAAATAAATTATTATTCAAGAGATTATCTTATTGATTTCTTCTTCTGATGATGGAAGATTCGTTTACTGATAATCAACCCTCCCACCTATAATAATTAGAGAAGCCGAACCAAAAATATAAAAATAAGGCATTGGAAAACTCCCAAGCAGCAAGGAATTGAGGGGCCAATATCCCAGAGAAAAGTGAAGTCTGTCCAGAGATATCAGCCCAACATTCAGTGTTTTTCTGAGGTATTCACCAATCACAAAATACTTCTAAGAAAATAAGTAAGTAAGCATAAATTAGAAGCTGAGAGGCTAAGAAGTTGAGCAAAGCTTCAAAAGTCTAAAGTGGCTGGAGGGAAAAAAACTGAAATCAGGCCCAACCAGTTGAATTCCAGAGAGGCTAAACTTTAACTGCTAATAACCATGTACTCAATAAGACTGAAACCCTGCTTTATATCTGTTCAATCTATAATTGGTTTGGGTGATCTGATCCTAGTCTTCCTGCCCATCAGGAGCAAAAGTAAATCCTCCATGAAGGAAGATCACATAATCCAGAGTATCATACTCTCTCTACAATTTTTCACACCTATGTTGGGATTCAATAAAAAACAATTAGGTACAACAAGGCAACACCCCATAACCTAAAACTGGGAAAACAGTAGAAGCCATGCAACAGAAGGAGACCCATGGGAGATTGTGATATTGGAATTATCAGAAATGGGCTTTAAAATAATTGTGACAATTTTATGTTTCAGAAATGTGATACAAATGTTGGTAATTTTAGCAGAAAACTGGAAATTACAAAGAACTTTTTGAAACTGAAATTTTAGATGAAAGAAAGCAGTAACTGAAAATTAATAACTCTATATAGTCAACTTTAATAATAGAAGACAAAATTAGTAAACTGGAAGATAAGTCCAAATAAAGTAGCTACATTAAATAAAGAAAAGGAATCTTAAAACATAGGAAAAAGGACATGAGATGTGGAGTTATGGGAGAAGTTCTAACCTCTATATAATTGGAGTCTCGAAAGGACAGAAAATAGAGAATACAGCAAAAGCAGTATTTGAAGAAATAATCACTATGAATTTTCCAAAACTGATAAAAACTATCATGCCACAGATTTCAAGAGGCACTGTAAATGACTAGCACAATAAATATAAAAGACGCTGATATGGTTTGGCTGAGTTCCCACCCAAATCTCATTTTGAAGTGTAGCTCCCATAATTCCCGTGTTGTGAGAGGGACCTGGTAGGAGGTAATTGACTCATGGGGGTAGGTTTTTCCCGTGCTATTCTCATGATACTGAATAAGTCTCACAAGATCTGATGGTTTTAGAAAGAGGAGTTCCCCTGCACATGCTCTTTTGCCTGCTGCCATGTAAGAGGTCCCTTTGCTCTTCCTTCGTCTTCCACCATGACTGTGAGGCCTCTCCACCCATGTGGAACTGTGAGTCCATTAAACCTCTTTCCTTTATAAATTACCCAGTCTCAGGTATGTCTTTATTAGCAGCATGAGAACAGACTAATACAGACACACACACACACACACACACACCCCTAGGTATAACACAGTAAAACTGTTACAATGAAAAACAGAAAACTCCTAAGAGCAGACAGACAAAAATATCTGCAACCTTCAAAGGAACAATAAGATAACAGCTTTTTAACTGAAGCAGTGAAAGCCATAAGACAATAGAATGGTAGCCTCAAACGGCTGAAAAAAAATCTGACAACGAAGAATTCTATACTTGACAAAAATATCCTTTGAAAATAAAGGTAAATAGGTATACTTTCAGAGAAATAAAAACTAGAGAATTTGTTACCTACTGATCACACTAAAGGAGATAATAAAATGTATTCTTCAGATCTTTTAAAAGAAAATGAATCCACATGAAAGCACAAAGATTTAAAGAAAATGTAAGTATCATAGAAAGGACAAATATGAGGGTAAATGTATATAAATTATTACTATATAAAACAATAACATCTAACAACAATAATATAAAAGAGAGTAAGGGGCTAATAGAGTTGAATGTTGTTAGGTCATTTCACTGTCTGAGTATTAATAAATGTAATGACTTACCTCTAATTTTACTAATGCCAGCATGTATTACATGTTGTACTCTCTAGAGTAACCACTTAAAGAAGCACAACTTGTATAAATAACAAATTGATGGAGGGATAACTGAAATATTAAAAGTAATAGATTCATTAAAGTAGAGGCAAAAAAGGAAAGAAAAATTAATATAGAACAAAAATCACAAATAGAAAACAAACAGTACAGTGATAGATCAAAGATTTGATCAATGACAGATCAAAATGTATTAGTAAATAAACTAAACAGATTACTCCAGTTACTAAACAAAGACTATCTGACTGAATAAAATAAAAACTATATATATTTTACAAGAGACAACTGTTATATAAGGAAACACAAAGGCTTATAGTAAAAATGGTAAATATAATCCAAACACAAACCAAAAGAAAGTTGATATAGCTCTACTACAATAACAAAGAAGTAAGAACATCAGTGTTACTAGAGTTAAAAAGGGATATCTCTTAATAATAAAATGATTAATTTATCTGAAAGTAATTATAATTCTAAATTTATATGCACTAAATAACAGCCTTCACATTGGCAAAGGTAAAAATTCATAATGCTAAGAAGAGATAGAGACAAATCTAATATCTTATTAGATTTTGACTCATCTCTTAGAATAAGTGATAGACCTAGGCAGGCAGAAATATAATCAGGCTGTAAAAGATAGAAACAATATACTTAACAAACGTGAGTTAATTACACTACATAGAACACCTCATCTCAAAATTGCAAAACACATAATTTTCTAGTGCATAGGGATATTTATTAAAATTGACTATATGCTGACCATAAAACAAGTCTCAACAAATGTCAGAAGACTAAAATCATGGTGTCTTGCTGCAGAAGAATTAAACTGGAAATGAACAAAAATTAACTCAATAATTATGAAAAAGTATTTAATAAAATTCAAAATCCATTTATAATTTTAAAATAATTTTGAAAATTTTGAAATAAGCCAGGTGTGGCGGCTCATGCGCATAATCTCAGTACTTTGGGAGGCTGAGGCAGGAGGATCACTTGAGCCCAGGAGTTTGAGGCTGCAGAGAGCTATGATTGCACCAGTACACTGGAGCCTAGATGACAGTGCAAGATTCTGCCTCTAAAAAAATAAATAAATGAATAAATGAATAAATAAATAATTTAAATGTAGACAGTACTTATCTGTTAAAATGTACACACACACATGCACACAAAATCTACCAAAAACTCATAATTAATGGTGAATTATTAAAAGACTTCTTTATGGTACCACAAAAAGAAATAGATGTCCATAATCACCACATTCATTCAACATTATAATTGAGGTCTGACCACTGAAATAAGGCAAGAACACTAAGTAAAATTCATAAAAATTAGAAAATATTGCATAATTATTGACATAGACCTACATATAAACTATTAAAATAAGTAAATTTGAGGTCAGCATACAGAAATTTTATGTTAAAGGTTAAAAATGTATTTCTATACCAGTAACAAACAAACAAACATTTGTAGCATAAGGATAAACAAATGGTTCAATAGATTACAATGGAGAGCTCCGAAATAAACCTACATACATAAGCTACTTCATATACAACAAATGTGACACTACATAAATATAGTCGTTTAAATAGATAGTACTGCATCAACTAAATACTCATACATCAAGTAAATGAATCTTGTGCCCCTTTTTGTGTGATATACAATAATTCTATTTCAGAAGATTTGTAGCTCTAACTGTGAGAGATAAGATAAGCTTCTAAAAGAAAACAGGGGAAAGGAGAGAGTATTCATTCACTAACTTAGAGTAGGTAATAATGTCATAAACAAGAAAGAGAAAGCACTCATTGTAAGGAGAAAAGCTGATAAAATGAACCACATTAAAATTAGAAAATTTGTTCGACCAAAAGACATCAAAGTAGATGCATATCATTATTCATTTATACAAACCTAGAGAAGCAAGAATGAACCCTTGTTCAAACTATGAATTTGGGGTGATAATGTTGTACCAATGAAGGTTAATTGATTGTAACAAATGTACTACTCTGATAGTGGGGGAGGTTATGAATACTGGATACTGGGGTAGGAGATATATGGGAAATCTCTATACCTTTTGCTCAATTTTGCTGTGAGGCTAAAACCTAAAAATTTAAGTCTATTCTGCTTTTAACATTTTTCACTCAAAAAATTAAGTCTATTTGAAAAAATAAAAAAGGCATAATTACTACAGTCAAATGGCAAACTACAAAGTAGGGAAAGATATTTATAATATATATTTAATTAGCAAAAAGGTTAAGTCGGATGCTATCTTGAATTCCTAAAACTCATAAGTCAAGACACACAACCCCATAGAGAAATGGGCAAAATACTTGAACAGGCATTTCGTAAAAGAAGGTATCCAAATAACCAAGAAACATGAAAAATTGCTCATTTCGTTAGTCATCAGGGAAATGTAGATTAAAACTTCAATCTCACACATCTACCCAAATGGCTAAAATTGAAAAGAATTCACAGCAATCCTTAGTCTGTGGAACAATAGGAACTTTCATCCACTATTAGTGGGAGTATAAATTGTTATGGCCACTTGGGAAAATTTAGGTGGCAACGTCTACCTAAACTAATTATATGGCTATCCCATAATCTAGAAAGTCCAATCCTAAGGATATCTCCAAGAGAAATACATACCTATTATCACCAAATAATGTGTGCAAGAATATCTGTAGCAGCATTATTCATAATATCCCAAACTGGCAATAGCACAAATGTCCATCAACATTAGAATAGATAAATATATATTAATCCAATAGAATATAAAAACAGTAAAAGTAAGTGAACATTGCTACAAGCAACACCACCAATAAAACTCAAAACAATACTCAGCAAAATACACCAGACATAAATGAATATATATCACATGGGCAAAAAATTAATGGTGAAGATAATAGTTACCTTTGAGGAAAAAAGTGGGTCTGGTGATTGGGAAATGGCATGAGGAAGGCTTTTGGGGATCTGGGAAAGTTCTGTTTCTTAATCTGAGTGGTGATTATACTGCTGTAAGGATAACTCATTGAAGACTTATGAATTAAGTACTTTTATTTATGTGTGTTACAATGCATTACAGAAGCATAAAACAAAATCCATATTGATTTTACTAAGAATAACTGGCAAGGAATTACTGAATATCATTTTAGATATCTACAAGGTGCAAAGGCCCCATGCCCAATCCATCATCAAACATTTATATTACACAATCAACAATCAACTGTTAGATTTTAGAAAATAAAAAGTTAATTAGATATATATCCTGACCTCAAAATGTCAGGTATAGAATTATCTACATAAAACTGACTTGGGCCATCATATGTATGTGTGTGTATATACACACAATATATATGTGTGCATACGCACATGATGTTTACATTCCAGATCTCAAAAATATTTTGATTTACTATATCTTAGATATTTCAATAAAAGAACTTACTAAATGTGTATAACTCAGGTATGATTTTCATGTATACACATTCAAGAAATCGGAAAAGAAGATTTTAGTAGAAATATGTCTTAAGAACTGGGATATAACAGGAAAAGTCTCCATTTGATCTCAGTTCAAAAGAATACAGTAGGATGTGAATAGGTGGAGGAAGAAAAGGAAGATTTTTGAGACGGGGTAGGAACAGCATAAGGAAAAGTACAATGTAGGGAAAGCAGACATGGGGTCAGGGGTTCATTTTGTTGGAAGAGAGCAGAAAGGTGAGCGGGTGAAAGGCAGATAGGAGACAGACAAGGACCAGATTGAAGAGGATCTTGGAATGTCAAACTGACAAATGTAGACTACATTAACTTGGTAATGGAAAGGTAGCTACAGTTTCAGCAAAGTGTCATGATCAGAGCTGTGTTTCAGGAAAACTATTCCAACAGCATGATGTCAAATGAATTGGATACTGAAAAGCCTAGGGTTAAGGAGACAGGTTAGGAAGCTGCTGCCATATTAAAGGTCTAATCAAGATATGAAACTAGGAATAGAAGGAAAGATATGGCCAAAGATAACTGCTGAAAACATAATTTCCTTAATATTGGCATGAATTGTTCTTATAATAAACAAGCATTCCCAAGTAGTCATTTTGTAAACTGCTGCACGTTTAACAGTAAAGGGAGATCAAGCTCCTGTGTAACCAGGTACAACTTTTTAAGAAAGTTAACTCTTTTACTGAGAATCTTTTCTGAGCATATCCAGTATTCACAGAGCTAGGGCTCCTCTTCCTGAAGGTGCCTTCCCTGAAACCCAGCTAAACACAAATAGCATATCTAGTACTACTTGGAGAACAAGTGAAAATTATTGAAGGGCTATTGAGTGGGCACCCTTATATATAACCTCACTCCATCTTAAGAGTGCCTTCATCACAACTGCTGCCCCTTCATGCCTGTTTAGGCTCATCTCAGAGCCCAAGGCTCCAGATATTTCCTTTTGTTCCCCTGATAATCTTTGCTAAACTAGTGAACTTACAGGTTTTCATTGTTTGATGCTTGATTTGATTGGCTCAGTCTTCCCTTCCCACCACTTTTTGAGGAGAGGACTTTAGCTGGACCAATAGTCTGTCCATAAGTAATGTAGAATCAAGAGGAAAGAAAAGGAGGAAAGGAACAGGAGACACAGGGGCTTAGAATAATGGTGGGATTTTTACTAAGATGGGATGGAGAGAGAGGAGAGCAGTTGTCACATGGGGCTGGAAGAAGAAAATGGTATTTGTAAGTATCCTCCTTTTGGGACATTTTAAAAATCCAAAGAAATTTTTTTTTTGAGACGGAGTCTGGCTCAGTCACCCAGGCTGGACTGCAGTGGCACGATCTCCCCTCACTGCAAGCTCTGCCCCTGGGTTCATGCCATTCTCCTGCCTCAGCCTCCCGAGTAGCTGGGACTATAGGCGACCACCACCACTCCCAGCTAATTTTTTTTTTTTGTATTTTTAGTAGAGACTGGGTTTCACCGTGTTCACCAGGATGGTCTCGATCTCCTGACAAACAAAATTATTTTTAATGAACATTTGGATATTGACCTGTCTATTTGACCCTGCACTGAGAGACTGGACCATATAGATTCTGGCTTTATAAGATTATAATGAATAAAATAATCTAAAGAATCTACAATGGTACATGAAAGGAATTAAGATTTTTTTTTAATGAGGGGACAGGAATTTTTGTTGAATTTCAAGTCAATCTGCTGGAGGCATCAGCCACTCCAATTCCTCTAACTCTGATTTTGCATGGCAATTTGGGCCGGAACAATAGACATGAAGGACTCAAGGACGAGCAAACCAATCCCTGCCATTGAACACTGATGAAGCTTCACATGGCAGCACATCCACTGGGGTACTGAATACCACTTCTGAGATCCTTCTAAATCAGACAAAGTAGCCAATAAAGCATCCCACTCATGCAGCTCTTGGGAAGTGTGTGTATTATACTCACCAAACCTGGAATATGGTCAGGGATACAGGGGAAATTAAAGGAAGGGGATCATGAATAATAATTAGTAATAGAATTAATCATTATATAATAGTATTTGGCATTTACTGAGCTCTTATTATTATAGTGCCTTATACATATGAGTGTGAAGATTGTGCTAAGTGCTTTTCATAGACCATTAGAAGCCTCACAAATGTATGAGGTGGGCATTTTTGTTATTATCCTAATTTTAAACGTGAGAAAACTGAAAATGATTTAACACTGAAGTAACTTGCCCAAGGTCATATAATCATACAGCTTGTGGGCTTCAGACTCAGGAATTTCTGACTCCAGAGCTACAGAATTTATAACTATGGTATCATGATCCAACAATTATAATGATGATTATAACGAAAGGTTCACTAAAATCTGTTCTATGCACACCTAGATATGCCTATCACCAAAACTCATGCTTTGGTAATCTGTCACACCATTTTCTTCTCAGGATTTGACCCCCCTAAGGTTATAATAACAATTACTATAATGTGGACTTAGCTCCATTCTTAAGGGCATGAGAGGCTTCCTCTAGAATTCTGGAACTCTATTGGAATAGGGCATCTGCTTCATGACCCATATCAACTAATTAAGCTGATTATATAACTATGCAGCATCAACCTCCCTGGTAACATTTAATTTTCAGTCAAAATAAGTGTTGAACTTTTAAAAAGTTTAAACAAATTAAATCATTTTAAGGAGCTTATTTTATACTTTATTCTTTCATTTGCTAGTTTTGTAATTCTCTTGATGCCTTCTATGTAATTGCACTTTAAAAACAGAATTGGAACACATTCCTCAGAGCTAGAAGTCTCCATGGAATTTTTTTTTCTATGAAAAATTTGTGGGGAAATAAATGTGTATGTATGTGTGGTTTAGTTCAAGATGAGGTTTAGTTTAAGATGAGAAAGTTTCTCAGAACTAGGACTTACTATCAAAAGTTATAGCTCAAAGGGGCACAATAAGATATTGCCAATTAGAAAAAAAAGGAAACATTTTAATGTAAAGGCTGGTTTCACATATAGTCTTCTAATAAAAAGTGTTTATATTTAGTTACATCATTTTTACTGTACTTAGCTTTGAAAACTGTAAGTTGGACTCAACATAAAACAGTACACTAGAGAAGCATTTATAAATAACTTCATTTCACCAAGAGGTTGAGAAGAGTCAGTTGCCAATATAAAAACCCACAAACCACCAAGTTTTCCAAACTTCAGTTCCACGATGTCTCAATATATTCAAAAGTTAAAAAAAAAAAAAACAAAAAAAACCCATAACTACTGAACACTATAAGGCTGTGTGGTCAAGCAATTATGAAGCTTAAACTACTTACGTTTAATCTTTTCGATAAATTGCTCAGATTTTAAACCCAAAGTTTTATTGTTTTCCTTTTTAAAAATAAAGATGTCACTTGTGAAGGTTAAAGTCTAGTTCCCATGTTACTAAAGGAAAAGAAAGCTTATCCATAATCAAATTGGCAATTACTGGGTGGGGATTTACCATGGGGGGTGATGCATGTATACCTCTGAGGACAGGAATGGCCCAGGATACCACAGAAATGTCATTCCTAGTGATGAACACCATTAAAAAGGGCCAACCATACAGATCCCATGTGCCTCCAAGTTGCCAAGATAAAAATACAATTTTAAAAACTCTGTCTTGTAGCCAAATTACGTGGCACCAAGGTTTTCTTTGGAGAGTGTATCTCCACACCTCTACTATTATATGGGAACAGTAATTAGTGCTTAGAATTATGAGGTGGCGGTGGAAAATGGTTTTTTTTTTTAGTTTTTATTTATTTATTTATTTGAGACAAGAGTCTTGCGCTATCGCCCAGACTGGAGTGCAATGGTGTGATCTTGGCTCACTGCAACCTCCACCTTCAGGGTTCAAGCAATTCTCCTGCCTCAGTGTCCTGAGTAGCTGGGATTACAGGCACATGCCACCATAGCTGGTTGTTTTTTGTATTTTTAGTAGAGACGGGGTTTCACTATGTTGGCCAGGCTGGTCTAGAAATCCTGTCCCCTGGTGATCAACCCACTTTGACCTCCCAAAGTGCTGAGATTACAGGCATGAGCCACGGCAACTGGCCATGACTTTTTTAAATCTACATTTTATATTTGAGTATCATCTACTAGTTATTACAAAAAATCACTATGCGCTGTCAATCTGATGGCCTTTATAAGACCCTTTATATAGAAAAACGCTTTATCTAACCCATGACAGGCAAAATGCTAAAAACTACATGGAAAGTTAGCTGGTTTGGTGATAAATCTCTTCTCACGGGGCAAAGCCTCTACATTGAACATAGAAATATTATTGATGAAGCATTCAATGATAAAACTGATTTCAGATTAATAAGTGATCTCTACCAGCCATGTATTCTCTACCATTGGGGTGGTTATTAATTCTTTACACGAAACAAAGTTGTGCTTACTAACTGAATCCAATGTGGAGTATGGAGTAAGGGCTAAATCTAGTTAAAAATAAAACAAAGAGATATATTTGCATTCTAAATAATTTTTCCACAGTCAGTATTTTATTTGGGCAACTTTCTTCTTAAAGCTTCTGAGTAATGAAAATGGCAAAAAAGAATTTGTGCACATCTGTTTATGTATTCAAAAAAAGAATATTCAAACTGGGCATTGGTCCATGGGAAAGCCTGCACAACATAATCCAGTCCACCAAACACACTCCTCATTTATTAATAAGAAAATTCCAGGTTAAATTCTTGCCAAGAGATGTTTTCTTTTCCAAAAATTATCTTTGGCCATATTTTATATTTGATTTACTCCCTTTGGTGCATAAAAGAAATAAAAGGCCTACAGTCCAATACTAGTGGTTGGAATTTGA